>NC_000010.11:56052186-56203701 GCF_000001405.40 Homo sapiens | reverse complement strand
TTTAAAATGATCTTGTTAGTTTCAGAATATTTAGGATTTTCATGTATTATTTTATTAATTTATGATTTAATACCATTATGGTCAGAGAATACATTCTACATCATTTTATTTCTCTTACATTTATCAAGAGTTGTTTTGTACTCAAGCATATGGTTTGTGTTTGAGAATTTGCCATGTACAAACTTCAAAATACACTTTTAAAGAATGTGTATTTTACTATTTTTTATGAAGTGGTCTACAAATGTTAAATGACATCGGTTGATAGCATTGTTCAAGTCATCTGTATAATTACTGATTTTCTGTCCACTTAATCTATTGATTACTGAAACAAGACTACAAGAATCTCTAATTGTAATTTTGGATTTATGTATTTCTCTCTTCAGTTCTGTCAGTTTTTACTTCTTTATGCATTGTCTAGTTTTGTAATAAAGTTCATATACATATACAATTCTCTAGAACTACTGTTTTGTCTTGAAATTACACTATCTGATATTAGTAGAACCAGTCTAGGTCTCTTCTCATTAGTGCATGGAATATATATCTTCTTGCATTCTTTCACTTTTAACTTATTTGTTTGTTTATATTTAAAATTTATTTCTTTAGAAAAAGATATAATTTGGTCATGATTCTTTGATGAGGCTTATAATCTCTCTCTGAATTACAATGATTTTGGTATATATTAATTATTGTGGTACATTTAAGTCTACCATTTTGCTATTTGTTTTCTGTATGTGCAATATGTTCTCTGTTTCTTTTGTCTGTTATATTTCCTTTGTGTGATTTTTTGTTTGGTTTTGTTTTTTGATCAGGAAATTAACTGAAAATTTTACTACTTAGATTTTCATAGTTTTTCACTACTGGCTCATTATCTGTAAACCTTTGTTAGAAAAAAATATGTTAACATGTATCTTTAATTTATCACAATCTATAGTCAAGTAATATTATACCACTTCAAACATAATGTAAGAAACTTACATAAGTTTATTTCTATTTGTCTCTTGTCTTGTGCTATTGTTACCATATATTGTACTTCTGTATTTATTTAAAAACCAAGACTATATTTGTATTCATTTTTAAATTTGTTTTTGCTTTAGTTAGTCAACTTTAAATAAACATGCAAAATATGTTATATTTCTCCACATATTTACCAATTCTGGTGTATTCAATTCCTTTTTGAAGATCCAATTTTGTTTACGGTATGTTTTTCTTTAACAGCACTTCATTTAACATTTATTGCATGGAGATTCTTTCACTTACATTGTATATATTTGCCAGATACAAGTTATTGTTTGATTTTTTATTTCATCACTTTAAAGATGCCATTCCATTTTCTTCGGCTTTGCATTTTTCTGATTAGAAATTTGTGATCTTTCTCTCTAATGTGTCTTTCTCTCTTGTTTATTTCAAGAGTGTTTCTTATAACTGCTTTTCAGCAAGGTGTTTTGATGTGGTTTTCTCTCTGTGTATCTGGCCTTAATTCAGTCAGCTTCTTTAATTTTTGAGATTATAGTGTTCACAATTTTGGAAAACTGTTAGCCACTATGTCTTCAGTTCTACGTATTTTAAACCACTCAATATTATTTCAGCGTTCATTAAGGATCTTTTCCTTATTTTTCTTGACATAGTTTTCCCTGAGTCCTTCAATTTGGATAGTTTCAATTTTTAGATAGAAAGTGTTCTTATCTTGACCACTGATCCTATTTTCTGGAACATAATTGATTTTAAGCCCATTCTATGCATTTTTAATTTAGATATTGACATTTTTCTTCTTCTTTGCTTCTTTGATAGTTCTTCATTTTTCTATTAATTATGATTCTATTTTTCTTTAATCTTAGTGTATTTATAATTACTTTTTTAAAGTACTTGTCTACCAATTCTTACATTTCCATTATTACTGGTTATTTCTGTTTTTATTTCTCCTTTCTATGGTTCACTTTTCCTGATTTTTTGTGTGTTTACTAATTGCATTAGTGAATAATTAATAAACTCTTGTATTAACTTATATGCTTGTTAATATAATTGTATGCTGTTAATGTTACATTATTGAGTATTGGGATTTAGTAATCTTTCTTTAAAGAGTGTTAAACTTCGTTTGGGTGGGCAGTTACCTTATTTGTGGATCAGCTTAATTCTTTTGAGACTTATTTTTAGCTTTGCTAAGAAAAGTGTAAAGCAGCTTTTGCTTTTGTCCTAGATTCTTCTACTAACCTAGTGTTGCACTACTGAGTTATTTATTAAATATCGTCATGTTCATCAATGTACCTCTACTCTGATTGATTTTAACTCAAATTTCTTCTAGCACTGTACAGATTCTGTGAATGTCTAAGTTTATAATTTCTCAGGTACTTTTTGGTTTGTCTTATAAAATTTTACCTTATATGTCCTTTATTACGAAGTAACAGACCAAAGGAAGGTTAGTAGAAGTTGTTGCAGCTCTTTCTCTAACATCTTTTTACTCTGCCCTGAGAAGTGTAGTTACTTTGGTCACCTCTAACACTGACCTAAATTTTCTCCACCCAGAGAGATTGCCAGGTTTTATTTATAGTGGCTTCCTTGCTGCACAGAAATTCCCAGAATTTCTGGGTAGAAATTCTGAGAAATCATAGTGTTTCTGTCACTATGTCACTTATTAGACTCTTACATGTTTTGAACAATGTCTGCAACATTTACTTGTAGTTCTTTTCCAATTATTTTTAGTTATTTATGGAAAAGTCCAGCCGAGTCCAGCTGTTGTTAGTAGAGACAGAAATCTTCTAAGAGTTCCTGTTGATTATACTATTTATATTATAAATTAGACATGTCTATGCATTTTAGGTGGTATCTTTTACAAGTATTATCAGAAAAGCAAACACTAATTGTGGAAGTTACAAGTTATGAAAATAATGCTGCCTAACGAAAGCCCTTAACTTTAGCAGTTTAAGTTACATATGCATATATTTAATTTCATGAGCCTTTGTAAAATTTAAGTTTGAAGTTAAAATATAAAGTTACTAGGTGTAAATTAGATACTTTTCTCTACCAGTATCCTAAGTGGAGTTTCTATGAAGACATCAAATCAAAATATTGCAAATAAACCCTGACTTTTATAATGAACATTTCAGGGCACAATTTCAATATATGACACTTCTCAGTGTCATCTGTAATTCTACTAATTGTGAAATGAGGAAGGCAGGTTTTTCATAATGTTTTCTCCTGTGGTGCATTCGCTTCAATATTTTTCAATGACTTATTTGTATGTAACTCCATTTTCCTGGTATCAAATTCCCATCCATTTAGGGTGAAATTACTGTCATTGAATTCTGTTATATTCTCTGTAGTAATAAACATCCTATTTGAAGTTTCAGTAGCTTTAAAAGTGTTTTTCCTTTTACAGGACAGTAAACATTTTTAGTATTATTTTCTCAAAGTTATACCAAAATGTGAAATTTGCATAGCCTTATGTAAGACACATTATTAAGTGAATTTAAAATCTTCTTAGAATGAATTGAAATTTATAGATATATTTATATGTTAATGCATATATTTGCATGTATATGCATTAGCATCTACGTGTGTGTGCACATATAAAAAATACACATTTAGTATAAATGCTTTTAGATAAATGTGTGTACATATAAACAATATATTTATATTAAGTAAACTTTAAACTTAAAATAAGCTTAGTTTTAATTTCAGTTAAAGTTAACAATGAATATGATTTAATATTTCAAATATTTTCATGAGATTTTTCTAAAAGTTGCACAATTCTACATTTCTTTCCTCTACCATTTTTTCCCCAGAGACAATCATATTCAATTCCTTTCACTGATTATTTTAATATCCCTTCATATCTTCAATATGTTTGCAATTTTTTGATCTTTAACATATAGATATGATCTATTAATTTGTTTCACTTATGGAAGATTAACATTTAGCATCCCACACTGTCTCTACACATATTTTCTAGCACAAATCCTCCCACTATCTCTACAAGGATGGTCACTATGCAGGCTTATCATATGATCAGCATAGAAAAACATTTGGAGCTGTCCATGCAGTACTCTATTACTGCTTTTCATTTTCTTCACAACATTTTTTTTTTTGCTAACAATAGTCTGTTATTTCCATTTACTTAGTTTTCTATGTTCATATTTCAAATTCAATCTATGACTCTGAGTTTTGTAAAGCTTTCTCATAATATATGCTGATACATTAGATAATCCATTAATTTTATTTTTTGAATAAATCTTTCTCAGGGCCCTTTGAACAATTTAGTTTTACCTTGTTGCTTTTTTTAGTTTGAATTTTTGTATAGGTATAGAATTATACCTAAAATTTAGTTTGAATTTTTAGTTGAATTTTTATTTAGTAGAATTTTTATGTAGGTATATTTTTTCGATATCATTGTGAGAATTCTTTTTGTTTGTCATCCATTTGAATTGCTTGTTTCTTGATGCCTGTAACTTTTATATTCCTATTTATTTCTTTATTGTAGTGGAAAATCTCCAATATATTTCTGAGAGAAGTTCATTGTGTAGAAAAGTTTCTGAAACATTGTATGAAAATATCTCTATATGCCCTCCTCTTCAAACATACAAAGGAAATTTGGTTGAATCGAGAGTTCTAAGTGGGAAATATTCTTTCCACAGAATATGAACATGTTTCTTCATGTACTAGGATTTAGTGCTATCATTGCAATTCCATTCTGATTCACATTCAGAAATGGTATATTGATTATGCCTTTTCTTTGCACTTAATTTTTCAATTTTGCATTGATGAACTATATAGTGTGGATTAATTTTTATGAATTTTCTGGGTACTTAGTTGCCATTAAAATCTAAGAATGTCTATCTTTTATATCTGGTAAATATAGTTTGATTATTATTTTCATTATTATTTTAATTTTTTTGAGAAAATTATAGATTCACATACATTAATAGTCCTGTGTAAACATTATTAATTTTCCTCTGATGTCAAAATTTTTGCCAAGCTATAGCGTAACGTCACATCCATTAATATTGATATTATACAATCAGCTAATTTAGCGTAGATTTCCCTTACTTAACATGTGCTTATTTTGTGGGATGTATGTGTATTTTCATTTCCAGGCAATTCTTTCACATATGTAGTTTTTGTATCCGTCACCACAGTCAAGATATTTAACAAGTCCATCAACATAAGCAACTTTTGTGTTTCCATGTTATAACCACATCAGTCTCACTCCTACATCCCTCTTAACTTTAACCCTTAATAACAATAATCTGTTCTTCACTTCTAAATGTTGTCACTAAAAATGCTATCTAAAAGGAATAAAATAGTAATAGTTTGAGATTGGCTTTTTTGACTTAAATCAATTCCCTGGAGATTCATCCAAGTTGTTTCATATACCCCCTAGTTGTTCTTTTTTATTGCTGCATATTATTCCATGTATGGATGTATGTATAACAATTCATCTGTTTGTATAACAATTCATTTGTTGAAGGGTAGTTGAGTTGTTTCCAGTTTTTGGCTAGTAAAACAAAATTGCTATATATTTCAATATATATATTTTTATGTGAACATAGATTTCCATTTCTATAGGATAAATGCCTAATAAAAACACAGAAAGTCCTACTCAGTACAATCAGGCAAGAGAACAAAATAAAAGGCATCCAAATAGGAAAAGAAAAGGACAAATTATCTCTCTTCACTGACAATATGATTCTATACCTAGAAAACCCAAAATACTTCCCCAAAAGGCTTTTGGAATTGATAAATGACTTTGGTTAACTTTCAGGATACAAAATCAATGTTTAAAAATCAGTGGAATTCCTATATACCAATAACATCTAAGTTGACAGCCAAATTTAGAAGGCAATCTCATTTACAATAGCCGCAAAAAATTAAAATACCTAGGATATATCTAACCGTGGAGGTAAAAGATCTCTAAAAGGAGAATTACAAGACACTGCTGAAAGAAATCATAAATGACAGAAATAAACGGAAAATACTTCCATACTCTTAGGCTGGAAGAATCAATATCGTTAAAATGTCCTTACTGCCCAAAGCAATCTACAGATTCAGTGTTATTCCTATCAAACCACCAACATTTTCTCCCAAAATTAGAAAAATAAATATTCAAATATTTATATGGAACCCCCAAAAAGAGCCCCCAAACCAAAGCAATCTTAAGCAAAAAGCTCAAAGCTAGAGGCATCATATTACCTGACTTCCACCTATACTATAAGGCTACAGCAACCAAAACCATATGGTGCTGGTACAAAAACAGACACAGAGACCAATGGAAGAGAATACAGAACCCAAAAATAAGGCCCCACACCTAAAGCCATCTGATCTTTGACAAAGTCAACGAAAATAAGCAATGGGAAAAGGACACTCAATTTAATAAATGGTGCTGGGATACCTGGCTAGCCGTATATGGGTATACGGATCTTGCATAAGATAAGGATCTTGCACCATATACAAAAATTAACTCAAGAGGGATTAAAAATTTAGTGTAATACCTAAAACTGTAAGAATAATAGAAGAAACCTAGGAAACATCATTCTGGACATCAGCATTGGGAAAGAATTTATGACTAAACCTCAAAAGCAACTGCAACAAAAACAAAAATTGACAGGTGAGACTGAATTAGCTCATTCTCACACTGTTATAAAAAACTACCCAACACTGGGTAATTTATAAAGGAAGGAGTTTTAATTGACTCACAGTTCTGCATGGCTGGGAAGGCCTAAGGACACTTACAATCATGGTGAAAGGGGAAGAAGACACATGTTTGCTTCTTCACATTTTGGCAGGAAGGAGAAGTGCCGAGCAAAGAGGAAAAAGCTCTTTATAAAATCATCAGATCTTATGAAAACTCACTCACTATCATGAGAACAGCAGCATGAGGGTAACTACCCCCAGGATACAATTACCTCGCACCAGGTCCCTTCCACTACATGTGGGGATTATGGGAATTAACAATTCAAGGTGAGATTTGGGTGGGGACACAACAAAACCATATGAGGGACCTAATTGAACTAAAGAGCTTCTGCACAGCAAAAGACACTATCAACAGAGTAAACAGACAACCTACAGAATGGGAGAAAATATTTACAAACTGTGTATACAACAAAAGCCTAATATTCAGAATCTGTAATGAACTTAAACAATTGAAAAAGAAAAAACAAATAGCCCCATTAAAAAATGGGCAAAGGACATGAACAGACATTTCTGAAAAGAAGACATACAAATTACCAACAGATATATAAAAAAATGCTCCGAATCACTAATCATCAGATAAGTGCAAAGCAAAGCCACAATGAGATACCATCTCAAACCAAATAGTCAGAATGGCTATTATTAAAAAGTCAAAAAACAATAGATGCTGGCAAGGCTGCACAGAAAAGAGAATGCTTAACACTGTTGGTGGAAATGTAAATTAGTTCAGCTACTGTGGAAAGTGTGGTGATTTCTCAAAGAAGTTAGAACTACTGGTCTACCCAGCAATCCCATTACTGGGTATGTATGCCAAAGAAAATAAATTGTTTTACAAAAAAGACACATTCACTCATATGTTTACCACAGCACTATTCACAACAGCAAAAATATGAAATCACCTTAGGTGCCTATCAATGGTGGATTGTATTTAAAAATGTGGTACATATGCACCACATAATACTACACAGCCATAAAAAAATGAAATCTTGTTGTTTGCCGCAACATGGATACAGCTGGAAGCCACTCTCCTGAATGAATTAATGCAGGAACAGAAAACTACATATGACGTATTCTCACTTATGTGGGAGCTAATATTGGATAGTCATGGACATAAATATGGCAATATAGACACATGTGGCTACTAGAGGAAACAAGAAAGAGAGTGGCAAGGGTGGAAAACAAAAAACTATTGGGTACTGAGCTCACTATTTGGGTGATTTCATTCATATCCAAACCTCAGAATCACACAATACAGCCATGTGAACAACCTGTACATGCACTCCCTGAATCTAAAATGAAAGTTAGTTTTTTTTTAAATGCAATAACTGGATTATGTCAGAATTGCAGTTAGTTACATACAAAACTGACAGACTACCACAGTGGAGTATTTTGCATTCCCACTGTTGTAGAATTTTGCTCCTTAGTTTAGCTAAAACCAGGTACTTCTCATGCCACCAGGAAAAATTAGGCTCATGGACACATTGAAGCGTGAGTAGAGTGGGATTTATTGGGTAAAAAGGAAAAAAGCAAAAAAAAAAAAAAAAAAAACTCTCAGTATATGAGACGGAGTACTGCTAACAGGCCCCCACCTCACGAATTGATTCTACGCCACAACACAGGAATGGAAGATGCCAGCCTTCCTCTCCCTGACCAGGGAGGGAACTCCTCGTGGCTCCACCCTATTCCCCCGGTGTGCATGTGGGCATTATTCAGAAAGAATCGGTTGGGAAAGGCTGGACAACCAGGGGCAGTTGTCTCTCTGGGTCACATGTTTTATCTGGGACCAGGAATTCGTTTTTTCAGCATTCATTCCCTTCTAGGCTTGAGGGCAGTGTTTCACCAGGGACCCTTGGCTGTCTGCTGGCTCTATCACCAACAGCAATGTATGAGTGATCCAGATTCTCTAACTTCTCCCTAGTATCTGGTGTTATAATAATAATAATTTTTAAAAATTCTGAAAGGTGTGTAGTGAGATCCCATTATGGTCTTTGTTTGCACTTTTTTGGTGTTGAACATTTTCATGTGTGCATTTACTATCTTCTTATCCCTTTCAGTGATTTGCATGTCTCTAGTTTTAACACTGAAATTAAAGTTTTGCTTTCAGGTATCTCTAGTTTACCCTGGTGACTGACTTTTTAAATTTTAGCTCAATCCAAAGTTCTGTCTCTAGGTTACGTCTTTCTCCTTATTGTGGCTGCCTCAGCTGAGTAAGGCAGCTAGTGTGTACAGTAGAGCAGACTAGTGTGTTTCTCAGCTCAATAATGATACAGTAAAGCTCCTGATATTTGTCGTAAATAGCTCTCTGCTGTAGCAGGAGTGTGTATTCTTCTGAGAGGTAGATATTGATGTTCAGTGTCTAAATGTGTCCCCTAAAAACATTCAAAACACACTTTGGAATTAGGGAGAAATGTATTGTTTTTTTTCTAGGCTAAATAGGAGCAATTTCAGTTCTTTTCCACTCTCTTCATAAGCTCGCAGAGAGTTACATCATTTCAGCAAGAAAGCCCCAGGTATAACTTCTGAATCATGTAATTCTTATTACAGAGGCAGACAACTTAACATCTTTTCTCTTCTTCAGATCTCTAGCTTCTCATAACTGGGACAAAAAATAATTACATATTTAGAAGAGTTAGGTGTTGGAATTCAGGATTGTAACAAGAGAGTACTCTTCTTTAATATTTTAAGTTATAGGTCATTATAACTGAGCAAAATTTGCTTACCTTGAATCTTATTGTTCTTAAGTAAGTATCAGTTCTAAGACTCTAAGAAGAATTTAGCATCAGTTATTAAGCAGGAAAGAGAATATTGGTGCCAACACTATTGATGCACCAATTACAGAGACATATTCTCAATACAAGTGAAGCCAGGTTAGACTCCCACTTAGCCATCCTAAAATAGTTTAAACTGCTTTCTTCCAATAAAAAATCACAATAATACCTAGTAATACCTTCAATTTTAGAAATAAAAAATTAATCCAAGATAGTATTTAGTCAATGGATTTATGATCGATCTATCTGTTGGAAAAAATATTACACAAAATGTAATTTTATAAAAAGCTATTGAAAATTCGGTTGCTTGTACCCTGAAACAGGTCGATTAAAAGGTAATTTCTGGAGCCAGACCCTGTGAAACTGCATTGCTTTAAGTATTCTCAGATGACATAGATATTCCTGCAGGCCTAGAAAACACTGACTTGGAATTCAGACAGGCAAAAAGTCCAGAAATAATATATTTGTAAGATATTAAAAAGCCAAGGAAAATCTATCAAAATTATAACTAGAAATCTGGAGCATATGGTAAAACTACTGTGGTATTTTCCAAATCACTGATTTTTTTATAATTGTTTTATATGTGTCTGATAAAATACTATTTTGCTCTCCTGAAATGAGTATGACTTTTGATGATGATGGTTTATTAAATCTAAACGTTAACATTTTATTTCCATGAACCATACCAGTTACGGGAGTAAATGGATCCTCATTAGTTATGGGAGTAAATGAGTCTTATGAGCTGGAAATGATTTCTTGGCTACTTTAATGTGGTACACATTTTTGGCCAACAGATGAGTGAAATAGACGTGGAAACCAAGAGAAGAGTTCAGCTAAAATAACTGGTTTTCTCTAGAAGTTGCCAAGCAGCGGTAAAATTTGCTGAGATGGCTGTAGAGTGGTCCTATACCTCTCAGAGTGGTTTATTATAGTGAAAGGTTTTGTATCTTGAAATCAGCGTGGACAGATTTTTGTTTTAAATTGTATGTGCATATGTGGGTGTGTGTGTATATATATATATGTAAATAATAATAAATAAATCTCATAATAAATGAGATGGGGTGTGTATATATTTATATAATTATATATATTATATATTATATATACATATATAATATATTATATTATATATGTATATATAATATATATTATATAATTATATGTATATATACATATAATTATATAAATATATATAATTATATATAATTTATATATTATATATATTTATATAATTAAATATATATTTATTATATATAAATATATATAATATATAATATGTATTATAGATAAATAATATGTTATTATTTAGGTAATATAATGCAGGGTAATAATGCACATATCTTAGAAAAGTATTCTTTTGAAATATTTTTATTCCCTGTGCATTTTATTTTTATTCCCTGTGCATTTTCTCATCACTACTTGTAGTAGAAGAGCTTGTAGTTACTTTATCTGAGAGAAAAAAATTACGTATTTATTTCCACATTCTCTATAGTGGTCATTATCAGTATGATTTTTTAAATTTAACAGTCAAATATTTACTATTATATTTAAAGTTATATAAATGTACATTTCTACCTAACAGTATTCACATTATATAATACTTAAAATACAAATTTTTAAATAATAAAATAAGGTTAACATAGGTAGAAGTTAAAATATTTTCTTCTGAAAATCCAGTAATAATTTTTGGAAGGAGACACTCAACATTGAGGATTATCAGAATGGACAAAACAAGGAGGGTCACTTTTTGAAGAAAATATCACTCTAATCAGATTGGGACCCCACTGGTTGTCACCAATAACTATTCAATTTAGGGATGACCTAGGTTACAGTAGAGCAGGATAATTCAAATTTATGGCTTGTTATTCCCATTCCTTTGTAGCTATAAGTAAAATGTACATATTACTAATTTCAATCTATATTTAACACATATTATGAATTAATGCTTCCTATAACTTATAAACTACTTTATTTATTTATTTATTTATTTATTTATTTATTATTATACTTTAAGTTTTAGGGTACATGTGCACATTGTGCAGTTTAGTTACATATGTATACATGTGCCATGCTGCTGCGCTGCACCCACTAACTCGTCATCTAGCATTAGGTATATCTCCCAATGCTATCCCTCCCCCTCCCCCCACCCCACCACAGTCCCCAGAATGTGATATTCCCCTTCCTGTGTCCATGTGATCTCATTGTTCAATTCCCACCTATGAGTGAGAATATGCGGTGTTTGGTTTTTTGTTCTTGCGATAGTTTACTGAGAATGATGATTTCCAATTTCATCCATGTCCCTACAAAGGACATGAACTCATCATTTTTTATGGCTGCATAGTATTCCATGGTGTATATGTGCCACATTTTCTTAATCCAGTCTATTGTTGTTCGACATTTGGGTTGGTTCCAAGTCTTTGCTATTGTGAATAGTGCCGCAATAAACATACCTGTGCATGTGTCTTTATAGCAGCGTGATTTATAATCCTTTGGGTATATACCCAGTAATGGGATGGCTGGGTCAAATGGTATTTCCAGTTCTAGATCCCTGAGGAATCGCCACACTGACTTCCACAATGGTTGAACTAGTTTACAGTCCCACCAGCAGTGTAAGAGTGTTCCTATTTCTCCACATCCTTTCCAGCACCTGTTGTTTCCTGACTTTTTAATGATTGCCATTCTAACTGGTGTGAGATGGTATCTCATTGTGGTTTTGATTTGCATTTCTCTGATGGCCAGTGATGGTGAGCATTTTTTCATGTGTTTTTTGGCTGCATAAATGTCTTCTTTTGAGAAGTGTCTGTTCATGTCCTTTGCCCACTTTTTGATGGGGTTGTTTGTTTTTTTCTTGTAAATTTGTTTGAGTTCATTGTAGATTCTGGATATTAGCCCTTTGTCAGATGAGTAGGTTGTGAAAATTTTCTCCCATTTTGTAGGTTGCCTGTTCACTCTGATGGTAGTTTCTTTTGCTGTGCAGAAGCTCTTTAGTTTAATTAGATCCCATTTGTCAATTTTGTCTTTTGTTGCCATTGCTTTTGGTGTTTTAGAGATGAACTCCTTGCCCATGCCTATGTCCTGAATGGTAATGCCTAGGTTTTCTTCTAGGGTTTTTATGGTTTTATGTCTAACGTTTAAGTCTTTAATCCATCTTGAATTGATTTTTGTATAAGGTGTAAGGAAGGGATCCAGTTTCAGCTTTCTACATATGGCTAGCCAGTTTTCCCAGCACCATTTATTAAATAGGGAATCCTTTCCCCATTACTTGTTTTTCTCAGGTTTGTCAAAGATCAGATGGTTGTAGATATGCGGTGTTACTTCTGAGGTCTCTGTTCTGTTCCATTGATCTATATCTCTGTTTTGGTACCAGTACCATGCTGTTTTGGTTACTGTAGCCTTGTAGTATAGTTTGAAGTCAGGTAGTGTGATGCCTCCAGCTTTGTTCTTTTGGCTTAGGATTGACTTGGCGATGCGGGCTCTTTTTTGGTTCCATATGAACTTTAAAGTAGTTTTTTCCAATTCTGTGAAGAAAAGCATTGGTAGCTTGATAGGGATGGCATTGAATCTGTAAATTACCTTGGGCAGTATGGCCATTTTCACGATATTGATTCTTCCTACCCATGAGCATGGAATGTTCTTCCATTTGTTTGTATCCTCTTTTATTTCCTTGAGCAGTGGTTTGTAGTTCTCTTTGAAGAGGTCCTTCACATCCCTTGTAAGTTGGATTCCTAGATATTTTATTCTCTTTGAAGCAATTGTGAATGGGAGTTCACTCATGATTTGGCTCTCTGTTTGTCTGTTGTTGGGGTATAAGAATGCTTGTGATTTTTGTACATTGATTTTGTATCCTGAGACTTTGCTGAAGTTGCTTATCAGCTTAAGGAGATTTTGGGCTGAGACAATGGGGTTTTCTAGATATACAATCATGTCATCTGCAAACAGGGATAATTTGACTTCCTCTTTTCCTAATTGAATACCCTTTATTTCCTTCTCTTGCCTAATTGCCCTGGCCAGAACTTCCAACACTATGTTGAATAGGAGTAGTGAGAGAGGGCATCCCTGTCTTGTGCCAGTTTTCAAAGGGAATGCTTCCAGTTTTTGCCCATTCAGTATGATATTGGCTGTGGGTTTGTCATAGATAGCTCTTATTATTTTGAGATACGTCCCATCAACACCTAATTTATTGAGAGTTTTTAGCATGAAGGGGTTGTTGAATTTTCTCAAAGGCTTTTTCTGCATCTATTGAGATAATCATGTGGTTTTTGTCTTTGGCTTTGTTTATATGCTGGATTACATTTATTGATTTGCATATATTGAACCCGCCTTGCATCGTAGGGATGAAGCCCACTTGATCATGGTGGATAAGCTTTTTGATGTGCTGCTGGATTCGTTTTGCCAGTATTTTATTGAGGATTTTTGCATCAATGTTCATCAAGGATATTGGTCTAAAATTCTCTTTGTTCATTGTGTCTCTGCCCAGCTTTGGTATCAGGATGATGCTGGCCTCGTAAAATGAGTTAGGGAGGATTCCCTCTTTTTCTATTGATTGGAATAGTTTCAAAAGGAATGGTACCAGTTCCTCCTTGTACCTCTGGTAGAATTTGGCTGTGAATCCATCCGGTCCTGGACTCTTTTTGGTTGGTAAACTATTGATTATTGCCACAATTTCAGATCCTGTTATTGGTCTATTCAGAGATTCAACTTCTTCCTGGTTTAGTCTTGGGAGAGTGTATGTGTTGAGGAATTTATCCGTTTCTTCTAGATTTTCTGGTTTATTTGCGTAGAGGTGTTTGTAGTATTCTCTGATGGTAGTTTGTATTTCTGTGGGATCAGTGATGATATCCCCTTTATCATTTTTTATTGTGTGTATTTGATTATACTCTCTTTTTTTCTTTATTAGTCTTGCTAGCGGTCTATCAATTTTGTTGATCCTTTCAAAAACCAGCTCCTGGATTCATTAATTTTTTGAAGGGTTTTTTGTGTCTCTATTTCCTTCAGCTCTGCTCTGAGTTTAGTTATTTCTTGCCTTCTGCTAGCTTTTGAATGTGTTTGCTCTTGCTTTTCTAGTTCTTTTAATTGTGATGTTAGGGTGTCAATTTTGGATCTTTCCTGCTTTCTCTTGTGGGCATTTAGTGCTACAAATTTCCCTCTACACACTGCTTTGAATGCGTCCCAGAGATTCTGCTATGTTGTGTCTTTGTTCTCGTTGGTTTCAAAGAACATCTTTATTTCTGCCTTCATTTTGTTATGTACCCAGTAGTCATTCAGGAGCAGGTTGTTCAGTTTCCATGTAGTTGAGCGGTTTTGAGTGAGACTCTTAATCCTGAGTTCTAGTTTGAGTGCACTGTGGTCTGAGAGATAGTTTGTTATAATCTCTGTTCTTTTACATTTGCTGAGGAGAGCTTTACTTCCAAGTATGTGGTCCATTTTGGAATAGGTGTGGTGTGGTGCTGAAAAAAATGTATATTCTGTTGATTTGGGGTGGAGAGTTCTGTAGATGTCTATTAGGTCTGCTTGGTGCAGAGCTGAGTTCAATTGCTGTGTATCCTTGTTGACTTTCTGTCTCATTGATCTGTCTAATGTTGACAGTGGGGTGTTAAAGTCTCCCATTATTTATGTGTGGGAGTCTAAGTCTCTTTGTAGGTCACTCAGGACTTGCTTTATGAATCTGGGTGCTCCTGTATTGGGTGCATATATATTTAGGATAGTTAGCTCTTCTTGTTGAATTGATCCCTTGACCACTATGTAATGGCCTTCTTTGTCTCTTTTGATCTTTGTTGGTTTAAAGTCTGTTTTATCAGAGACTAGGATTGCAAGCCCTGCCTTTTTTTGTTTTCCATTTGCTTGGTAGATCTTCCTCCATCCTTTTATTTTGAGCCTATGTGTGTCTCTGCATGTGAGATGGGTTTCCTGAATACAGCACACTGATGGGTCTTGACTCTTTATCCAATTTGCCAGTCTGTGTCTTTTAATTGGAGCATTTAGTCCATTTACATTTAAAGTTAATATTGTTATGTGTGAATTTGATCCTGTCATTATGATGTTAGCTGGTTATTTTGCTCATTAGTTGATGCAGTTTCTTCCTAGTCTCGATGGTCTTTACATTTTGGCATGATTTTGCAGCGGCTGGTACCGGTTGTTCCTTTCCATGTTTAGCGCTTCCTGCAGGAGCTCTTTTAGGGCAGGCCTGCTGGTGACAAAATCTCTCAGCATTTGCTTGTCTGTAAAGTATTTTATTTCTCCTTCACTTATGAAGCTTAGTTTGGCTGGATATGAAATTCTGGGTTGAAAATTCTTTTCTTTAAGAATGTTGAATATTGGCCCCCACTCTCTTCTGGCTTGTAGGGTTTCTGCTGAGAGATCCGCTGTTAGTCTGATGGGCTTCCCTTTGAGGGTAACCCGACCTTTCTCTCTGGCAGCCCTTAACATTTTTTCCTTCATTTCAACTTTGGTGAATCTGACAATTATGTGTCTTGGAGTTGCTCTTCTCCAGGAGTATCTTTGTGGCGTTCTCTGTATTTCCTGAATCTGAACGTTGGCCTGCCTTGCTAGATTGGGGAAGTTCTCCTGGATAATATCCTGCAGAGTGTTTTCCAACTTGGTTCCATTCTCCCCATCACTTTCAGGTACACCAATCAGACGTAGATTTGGTCTTTTCACATAGTCCCATATTTCTTGGAGGCTTTGCTCATTTCTTTTTATTCCTTTTTCTCTAAACTTCCCTTCTCACTTCATTTCATTCATTTCATCTTCCATTGCTGATACCCTTTCTTCCAGTTGATCGCATCTGCTCCTGAGGCTTCTGCATTCTTCATGTAGTTCTCGAGCCTTGGTTTTCAGCTCCATCAGCTCCTTTAAGCACTTCTCTGTATTAGTTATTCTAGTTATACATTCTTCTAAATTTTTTTCAAAGTTTTCAACTTCTTTGCCTTTGGTTTGAATGTCCTCCCGTAGCTCAGAGTAATTTGATCCTCTGAAGCCTTCTTCTCTCAGCTCGTCAAAGTCATTCTCCATCCAGCTTTGTTCCGTTGCTGGTGAGGAACTGCGTTACTTTGGAGGAGGAGAGGTGCTCTGCTTTTTAGTGTTTCCAGTTTTTCTGTTCTGTTTTTTCCCCATCTTTGTGGTTTTATCTACTTTTGGTCTTTGATGATGGTGATGTACAGATGGGTTTTTGGTGTGGGTGTCCTTTCTGTTTGTTAGTTTTCTTTCTAACAGACAGGACCCTCAGCTGCAGGTCTGTTGGAGTACCCGGCTGTGTGAGGTGTCAGTCTGCCCCTGCTGGGGGGTGCCTCCCAGTTAGGCTGCTCGGGGGTCAGGGGTCAGGGACCCACTTGAGGAGGCAGTCTGCCTGTTCTCAGATCTCCAGCTGCATGCTGGGAGAACCACTGCTCTCTTCAAAGCTGTCAGACAGGGACATTTAAGTCTGCAGAGGTTACTGCTGTCTTTTTGTCTGTGCCCTGCCCCCAGAGGTGGAGCCTACAGAGGCAGGCAGGCCTCCTTGAGCTGTGGTGGTCTCCACCCAGTTCGAGCTTCCAGGCTGCTTTGTTTACCTAAGCAAGCCTGGGCAATGGCAGGCGCCCCTCCCCCAGCCTCGCTGCCGCGTTGCAGTTTGATCTCAGACTGCTGTGCTAGCAATCAGGGAGACTCCGTGGGCGTAGGACCCTCCCAGCCAGGTGTGGGATATAATCTCGTGGTGTGCTGTTTTTTAAGCCGGTCCGAAAAGCGCAGTATTCGGGTGGGAGTGACCGGAATTTCCAGGTGTGTCCATCACCCCTTTCTTTGACTCGGAAAGGGAACTCCCTGACCCCTTGCGCTTCCCAAGTGAGGCAATGCCTTGCCCTGCTTCGGCTCACACACGGTGCGTGCACCCACTGACCTGCGCCCACTGTCTGGCACTCCCTAGTGAGATGAACCGGGTACCTCCTATAAACTACTTTCTTACTCATTATCTACATTTACCACATCCTCTGAGTTTTGAATTGATTTAACAAGATGCTAGATTACTTACTATTTATGCTTAACTTTTTATATGAATTTCATCAATCTTACTTGTTTTTTTAACATTTAGAATGGGAAAATTCAATATTGCCAGATAATACAGCAAACATATATTGTACCTACTCTAAAATATTCAATTAACTAACACATCATTACAAATAAGTTTAAAACTAGAAATTACAAACACAAAACACCATCTTTATATACTTCACCACATCAACCTAAGCACAAATACTCAAGTTTCCCCAAAGTCCCAAGGGCAAGCTTTCCAAACCAATTACCGCTCTACATCTACCTAACAGTGATATTTGTGCATAATAACATAGATGTATGTTTAACTTTATTTGAAAACACAAGCTGTTTTGCTGTGTGGTTGCAACGTTTTGCAGACATATCAGCAAGTTATGAGAGTTCCATTTGCTCCATATCTTGACAACTTTTTATGTTGCTGTTCTTTTTTATTGAAACCCCTTTAGCAGGTTTAAAGTGGTAATCATTGTGGTTTAATTAGAATGTCCTGCTAATTAATCATGTTGAACACATTTTCTCATGCTATTCATATATTTTATTTTATATAGTCTGTTTGAATTTTTGCCCAATATTTACACATATTAGTTGTTTGTATTTTTAATGAACATTCTTATATGTATCTTCCCATAGATTTTTCTGGGTGTCTTTATATCTTATTTAGTGAAGTCACTGTCCAGATCATTTCTGCCTTCTTTATTGTGATGGTAGTGAACTTAATCTTGAACTGAAAGGTTTCTTTATATAATCTAAACACAAGAGATTATTGATATACACGCTGAGAATATTTTCCCCAGATCATGGTTATATATTCATTTTTTGCAGGTGTTGGGTGTGATGTTCTATAAATGTCACTTATGTACTTGGTGAGAACTTTTATACTTTTATTAATTTTTCTATTTTCCCTTTTGGAGGGTGTGAATGGACATTTTCTATTACCACTATAAAATGTTCCTCTATATCTTTAGGAATTTTTTTTATTTGAAGGCTATTTTATCTAATATTAATCTAACTACATCGGTTTTCTTATATTTAGTGTTTCTGTGTTGTTGTTTTTTCATTTATTTACTTTCATCTTATACTTGGTGTTCCATCTCATATTTAGTGTTTCTATGTTGCTATTTTTTATTTTATTTACTATCATCCTAACTTCCTTTACAGTAAAATGTGTTTATTGTAAATAGCAAGATTTCATCTTGCTTTTTCTGCATTTTTTCTTCCAAAAAAATCTATCATTTTACTCTGTCTTTGAAATAGGCTGTAGAGTTCATTATAGTTAATATAATCAATGGTATAATTACTTTAAATCTTTCTTATTTGCTTTTGTTTTAATTTATGCAAGCTGCTTTTATTCTTCAGTTCCTTATTACTGCTTATTTTGTGATGAATTGCATAATTTGTAGTATGCTATTTCTCTTTCCCTCTCTCTCTTTTTTTACACACACACACACGAAATATACCTCATGTAGTCTTGTTTAGTTGTTGCTGCAGAAATTACAATATTCATTTTTGAACTATAAATTAGGTATTGATGGGACGTATCTCAAAATAATAAGAGCTATCTATGACAGACCCACATCCAATATCATACTGAATGGGCAAAAACTGGAAGCATTCCCTTTGAAAACTGGCACAAGACAGGGATGCCCTCTCTCACCACTCCTTTTCAGCATAGGGTTGGAAGTTCTGGCCAGGGCAATCAGGCAGGAGAAGGAAATAAAGGGTATTCAATTAGGAAAAGAGGATGTCAAATTGTCCCTGTTTGCAGAAGACATGATTGTATATCTAGAAAACCCCATTGTCTCAGCCCCAAATCTCCTTAAGCTGGTAAGCAACTTCAGCAAAGTCTCAGGATACAAAATCAATGTGCAAAAATCACAAGAATTCTTATACACCAATAACAGACAAATAGCCAAATCATGAGTGAACTCCCATTCACAATTGCTTCAAAGAGAATAAAATATCTAGGAATCCAACTTACAAGGGATATAAATGACCTCTTCAAGGAGAACTACAAACCACTGCTCAATGAAATAAAAGAGGTTACAATCAAATGGAAAAACATTCCATGCTCATGGGTAGGAAGAATCAATATCGTGAAAATGACCATACTGCCCAAGGTAATTTATAGATTCAATGCCACCCCATCAAGCTACCAATGACTTTCTTCACAGAATTGGAAAAATCTACCTTCAAATATGCTATTAGAGAAATCATATAAGGAACATCTACCTATATAATTCTACTTATTCACTTCCCACCCTCTTCGTTCTTAGTGTCTTATATTTTACTTCTGTGTATGCCAAACCCCACAATATATTGATGTAATATTGATGTATTTTTGCTCTAAACAGTTATTTTTTTATTAACCCAGATATGTTCTTTTAATAATGTTCTCATTTTTGTCCTACAGATCCAGGACTCGATCAGACATCATTTCTTCTCACACCAAAGAAATTCTGCTAGCTTTTCTTGAAATGTAAGTCTGCTGGAAACAAATTATATCACCTTCTGTCTGTTTAAAGATCTATTCATTTTGCCTTTATACCTTTATGAGTAGTTTTACTTGATATGAAATTCTTGGCTCACAGGGTTGTTTTCATTTTTCTTTGTTTTCGAAATTTTAAAATTTCTAGTATTTTTATTTGTTTCCGTCTTATAGTTTCCTTGTCTTTGCTGAAATTTAACTTTTTGCAGCAAGTTGTCTACCCTTTCACTATATCTTTAGCCTTCTGTCATAGCTACTGTATAGCTATTACGTATTTGTTCATTCAATTTTAGTATTTGGGTAGTTTCTCATCCTGCTTCTATTGACTTCCCTCTCTAGATTGATTGCCACTTTTTTCTCTTGTATCATATTATCTTCACGTTTGTGCCAGATCTTATGTATAAAAGGTGTATCTTGTCTTCTGCTGGGCATCTAAAGTGAAATCTATGTCAATCTGCTATGCATATAAGGAGGGTCTGAACTTTGCTACAGCTTTATTTTGATTCAGTTTACTACCACCTTCATATGTCTGGGAGTCAGGATCAGGTTTTTGTTTGTTTGTTTGTTTGTTTTGTGGAGCCAAGAAATGAAACACCTGTAAAATCCTAGAGATCTGCCCTTTTTCACAGCTCAGATGCCTACTTCCAGAATTGTAGGAGATTTCTGTCTGCTTTACAGTCCAGACACCAGGGTTTTTGGTCACTGGAAAGTGGTCTTTGCTCTCTTGTTTCTCCTGTTTGTTTTTTGGTTTGTTTTAATCTAAGGGAATATATTTTAGCCCTGTCGTTCCTCCCCTGCCCTTTTCTTTCTTTCTTTCTTTCTTTCTTTCTTTCTTTCTTTCTTTCTTTCTTTCTTTCTTTCTTTCTTTCTTTCTTTTTCTTCCTTCCTTCCTTCCTTCCCTCCTTCCTTCTTTCCTTCGTTTCTTCCTTCCTTCCTTCTTTCTTTCCTTCCTTCCTTCTTTCTTTCTTTCTTTCTTTCCTTCCTTCCTTCCTTTTTCTTTTTCTTCTTTTTTTTTTTTTTTGACTAAGTTTCACTCTTTTTGTCCAGGCTGGAGTGGAATGGCACGATCTCAGCTCAGTGCAACCCCTGCCTCCCAGGTTCAGGTGACTCTTCTGCCTCAGCCTCCAAGTAGCTGGGATTACAGGCATTCCCTTACCTTTCAAAGGCATTGATCTAACACTCTTTGAAGGCATGTAATGTCTTGAAGGATTCTTCAGCTCCAATGTCAGTTATTGCTTGTTGAAAGTTGGAAGTGCATCTGATGAATTACACTCAGCTAGCCTACTTTGTGCCTGCCACCTGAGGAAACATTCTATTTATGAAAGATCTGTTCACTTTACAGGGATAACTCTTAGCTCTTATTCTCTTCAGTCTCCCGATAACCCTCAGCTTTGGCCCAGCTACCCACCTCTGCTGCACTTGAAGACTCAATTTAAGAATTGGCAAGTGGGCGCAGACTGTTTATTAATGGTCCTCCTCAGGATTCTAATCTATCGTGGCAGTTTTATATATGGTAGCTTAAAGTTTCTTAACAGTTTGCCTAATTTTGCCACATCCCCCTCTAACAGATTTCTTTTTCAAAATTTTGCTAGAAATAAGAGCAGCCCATGAATATTTCCCTCCTATAAAAGGCTTATCGCTTTCTGAAGTTTAGTTTATTTACATTTCTTTGTGTCCACAGATCTCTGGTAAGATTCTAAAAATGATTATTTTGCAGCAAAATTAGCTTTTCTTTTATCTTAAATTCAGGGGGTGCATGTGCATGTTTGTTATATGGGTATATTTCACACTGGTGGGAACTGGTTTTCTAGTGTACCCATTACCCAAACAGTGAACATTGTACTCATTAGGCAAATTTTCAACCCTTGCTCTCCTCCCACCCTCCCCCATTTTGGAGCCTCCAGTGTCTGTTATTTCTATCTTCATGTGTATGCATGCCCATTGTTTCACTTCCACTTATGAGTGAGAACATGCAACATTTGGCTTTCTGTTTTTGAGTTAGTTCACTTAGTATAGTAGTCTCCAGCTCCATTCACGTTGCTGCAGAGGACTTGATTTTATTCATTTTACGACTGCATACCATTCCATAGTGTACATATACCACATTTTCTTTATCCAGTTAACTGTTGATGAACACCTATGTTGGTCCCAGGACTTTGCTGTTGTAAATAGTACTTCGATTAACATATGAGCATAGGTGTCTTTTCTTTATAATGATTTCTTCTCCTTTATGTAGATACTCAGCTGTGGGGTTGCTGGATCAAATTGTACTTCTATTTTTATTTATTTGAGAAATCTCCATTCTGTTTTCCATACAGGTTGAACTAATTTCATTCTCACCAACAGTGTTAAGCATTCCCTTTTCTCTGTTTCAGTGCCAAAATCCATTGCTTTTTGACTTTAGCCTTTTTGACTGATGTGAAGTGGTATCTTATTGTGGTTTTGATTTGCGTTTCACTGATGAATAGAGATGTGGAATAGTTTTAAATATATTTGTTAGTTGCTTGCATGTCTTCTTTTGAGGAGTGCCTATTCATAGCCTTTGCACATTTTTTAATGGGGTTGTTTTTCCTTTTTGAATTGTTCATGATCTTTATAGATTCTGGATGTTGGATAGATCATTTGCAAGTATTTTCTGCCATTCTGAAGGTTGCCTGTTTGCTCTATTGATAGTTTCTTTTGCAGTACAGAAGCTTTTACGTTTTAATTAAATCCCACTTATCTATTTTTGTTGTTGTTGTTACATTTGCTTTTGGGGTCTTCATCATAAATTCTTTGCCTAGATAAATATCTAGAAAAGTTCTTCCTATGTTTTCTTGTAGGATTTTTATAGTTTTAGATCTTATGCTTAAGTCTTTAATTCATCTTGTGTTAATTTTTGTATATGGTGACACATAAGAGTCCAGTTGCATTTTTCACATATGGCTAGCCAGTAATTTGCTTCTTAAAGTTACTATTAAGGAGAACAATAATCTCTCATGATTTCCTACATCTGAAGTTAAGGCTTACTCTATTATGTATATTATGGCTATAGATTCCAGGGAATCAAGGTCAATTGTGTAAATGAATTAATGCATGAAAGATGCACTACTACAATCCGTTTATGCTATCTATCATACCTTACGTTCATATAATCATTTTTAGTTTTAAAGGCACTTTTATACTTAAATATATACTTTATACTTAATAATAGTAGAGCTAAGGTTTATTGAATGTCATTTCAGTGTTACACATTGAGTCAAGTACTTTACATAAAATATATTTCACTGAATCCTCACAATTTATGAATTTTCTTGATTCTCAAATTACAAGTAGGAAAATGAGGAACATCAAGGTTTATAAATCATGCAGAGCTAGGATTTGAACCAAGATTGTTCTGCTTGAAATTATCTAGTTATTAAGTACTAAATTACTGTTCTTTCATTTGTATATCCTTTTCCTCAGTAAAAACCTCTCTTTATCTCTCTTTGCTCTTTCTCTCTCTCTCTCTCTATCAATCATATAGCCAGCTAGCTATACAGTAATTAGAATTTTAGTTTAGTAATTCATAATTCAGTTTCTAATGAAATACTTCTATATTCCAAGATAAGCTTAAAAAAACCTCATAATATACTGAGAACTAAAACTGACAACCAATATGTTATTTTAATGATCTAGAGAGTCAAATTAAAACTACAATTTAAGACTTTCTTCACTCAAATTACATTTTAATGTTACAATTCCCCTGTCTCCTCAAAAAAAAAAAAAAGAAAAAAGAGGAAAGTGCTAGGATCACAAAACAAATATTAGCCTTCCATAGGTTTCAGCTTCAACACTTAAAATGCCATAAAACAATTCAAAGAGTAAAGTCTTGATTAAAATTACAAGTGCTTACTGGGGAGTATCGTTTTTCATTCTCTTTATCATTTAATTGTGTCAGAAAATTAGAGGAGGTAGCAATAGATTTAACCTGCTTCCAGCAGAACCATTTAATCATGGTAGATGAACTTAATTACTTTTTAATTGAATTAAGCCTGGTTCCTTTTTTTGGCAGTATAGAAGGAGAAGAAACCCTATGAGGGAAATGCATGACAACTGTGTTAATTTGGAGTGCAAACATGGAGGATTTTCCTCAGATATTGTACATGATCCTACCCTGCCATTATGTTTTTGCTTTTACGATAGATCTCTATGTAATTTGTCACTTGTTAATTTATTTTACACATATATATCCCCCAAGCAGAATGTACACAGCTTAAAGAAATCTTGTCTCTTCTCTTCACTCTTGTATCTTCAGCACAGTTTAGGTTCTCACACATGGTAGGTGCTCAATAATGGTTAATAAATGAATGAACTGTATATACAAATGCCTTAGTGTAGTCTTTTAAACATAATGTTAAACAAATATTAGGTACTAATTTTTTAAAGAGATGATGCTGTCTTGCTCTGTCACCCAGGCTGGAGTGCAGTGGCCTGATTATACTATTCTTAATATAATATCAAAATATTACTTTTTGTATGTTAATTGTCACTAATCAATTCAAAATCACATTATGCTATAGAATGGTTGAGGGGTTAGTTGGATTGGAAATTTCAATTCAAAATGCAAAAATAAGTTAATGATGGAAGAGATGAGTCAATGAGATGATTTAATTATTTCAACCAGCTTGTGGGAAAAAGTAAAAACTCAATTATAACCTTTTAAATGGAAGATTCTTTCCTTATGTATCTGTTTCTCATCACTGAACCCAGGACCGTGCCTGAAATACAGAAGTCATTAGTGAATGTTACTGAGTGAGGAATTGCAGACGTGTGTGTTCATGCACATATGATTATACTATGTAACTAAGAAGGATCAAAAGGTAATTTGAGGAAAATTATCATAAACTCTAAATGTTTTTATTTGAAGCCATTTTCCAAAAAAAGAATAAAAGTGTATTCAATTCAATACAAGCATTTTTTATGATCATCCCTTAGCCCCCACCCAACTGCTCCAAATTCTACGTCATCAGTATCCTTATTCAGTAAATCATCCAAATGGATTTGAGGAATTTGAATCATTTTATTATACTTTTAATAGTCTAAAACAAACAAGACAGCAATACCAAATGCTCAGAACACTTAGAAAATTGTCATGCACCTCATATTAATTTTTTCTTTGTTTTAGATATTTAATCTTCAGGTTAAACCAACAGTGTGTACTTTTGCTAATTGAGACACCAGAGGTTTGCAGAACTCAGACAGTGTCGTTAATAATGTCGTGCTGGCAGTTCGTGGCATGATCATTAGTAGCAATGGACTTCACACTGGTAGGCTCTGACAGCATAAGTCAGGTTGTGCCAGCATTTCCCTGCGTTTCCTGTTGAGTATGCAGAGCTGGATGGAATGCATGAGGAAAGTGTCAGCATTCAAGTTGATACCACTGGGTAACATATCAGCTGACAGCATTTTCTCTGACCACACTGAAATAGCTCCAGGGGAGAGAGAGGGCACATAATACCAAAAGCAATTAAGATAACAGACAATTATTTTTTTTTCTATTTTTTTTTCACCTGAATCAAGTTAGACAGAATAGGCATGCTAAAGAATCCACAGTGGCAGCCTGCCTTTGCTTTTTCTTTCTTGGACAGATTGTGTGAAATCTTTCCTCAGAAGAGTTGGATTTGGCTGGTTTTTGCATTTTTAAGAACAAGTTATCCAGTTGGATAATTTGTAACTAGGAACTATTACAGGTCTCAGAGATACTGACTATTCATAAATGTCTTCCTTGCTTAGTAGCTTGTGAGATACTTTAAAAAAAATCAGCGGGGTTTTTATTTAAATAATCATTTAGATAAAATCGTATCTCAGCTTCTCAGTAGTCCAATTATTAATATGAAGATATGCAAATCTTGACAAATCTGTGTCATTTGATTTGCATAAAGCTGTGAAAATTTTGAAAAAAAATATCAGATGACTATACTAATGTGGAGACAACTGACTGCTGTGAACCTTTTTTGTCTGATTACATTTCCTATACTTCAGTTGTTTTTATTTCAAGAAAATGTAAGCACTTTAACATTTCATTTTCCAATTCACATTGATATGAATGGGTGAATAAAGTGCAGCATAAATGTTCCCGCTACTCTGTAAGGAAGACATTTAAATATATAAAACTGGGTTTATTATTTTCAAAACTGAAAAAGATGGAGCTTTCTTTGGGGCTGTCATGAAACATCTTATTATTATTTCTTATTCTAAATTTAGTTCTCTTCATTTGAATAGTAGAAGTTCTTAATGCTTTTGTTTTGTTTTGTTTTTTACTTTTCCTGGCTCTACAGAGCTCTTTGGTTTTGAAATATAAACCAAGCATTGCATCTAAATAGAAGAAAGTGTGAAGGTGAGGTTAAAGTTTGTATGACCTGGCTGGGCATGGTGACTTATGCTTGTAATCCCAGGACTTTGAGTGGATCACCTGAGGTCAGGAGTTTGTGACCAGCCTGGCAAACATGGTGAAACGCCATCTCTACTAAAAATATAAAAATTAACCGGGCGTGGTAGCAGGTGCCTGTAATCCCAGCTACTCTGGTGACTGAGGCAGGAGAATTGCTTGAACCCGGAGGCAGAAGTTGCAGTGAGCCAAGATCGCACCATTGCACTCCAGCCTGGGCAACAAGATCAAACCTCTATCTCAAAAATAAATAAATAAATAAATAAATAAAAGTTTGTATGGCCAACCCAGTTTGTCTTACTGAGTCCAGTGAGTCCAATTTCACAAGCATTAACAATCTGAAAGGGAAAATTAATTTGAATGTTATATTCTAGAAAGAGAGACAAATATTAGAAATTAGTGTTTAATTGCTTTGGAAAAGACAGCCTAATAGAAAATGCATTTATGTTATTATAAAATAACAAATGAATGAATTCTTACAAAGTGGTGCAGGATTCTCCTTAAATTATTTATTAATAACTTCAAAAATGTCCTCTTCATCCTTGGGAAACTACCAGGAGAAGCTAAAGAAAACAATGTAGTTGCACAGAGAGCTTTCTAATAAGCTCAGCAATAAATAAGAGCATGTAGGACATGTGAATTAAAATGTGTGTAACTAGGGAGACCTATAGAGTGGTATGGAATTAGTGTCAGGGATACTAAAACACATAATGGTTTTGTCCTTGGACATTTTTCAAAACCACAAAGTGAACTTAAATGTTATCAATCACATAAGAATAGCAAATGATACGGAATTGGCTAGCTGCTTAGAGTTGGTGGCAATGATTCAATAAATCATAAAGAGGAATGTATATTAACTTACTTTTTCCTTAATTTTTAAATTAAGATATGCTTACATATAAAGTGCATGTGTGTTAGGAATATAGTTTGATTGGTTTTGTCAAATGTATATTTGTGTTTAAGCAGCATACCAACTAAGCGATAGAACATTACTTTCACTCCAAATTCTTACAAATTATTTACTTGTTGGATGTTTTTAAATATTCTGGATCAAGTTTTGTTCAGAAATGTATTTGTGAATGTTTTTTCCTGCTTTTTTCGTATTCTTAATAAGGTCTTTTAATAAGATTTTTGTTATCGTTTTTGTGTTTTGGGGGTATCCCCTATACTGGGAAAGATATATTAACTGAGAAATCAACATTCTTTTGACTCTTCTTGGATTAAAAAACAATAATAATGCAATAAAAACACTCCTCTAATACCTCAGATACTAATTGTAGTCAACATGTGCTCTCTTTTTTAGGGCTTATTGAACTCTGTATTACTTTTAAAATAACACAATATTTTTTAAAGCAGTTTCAGATTCACAGTAAACTTGAACAGAAGACAGAGATGTCTCATATACTCTCTGCCCCCAAACATGCATAGTCTTCTCTATTATCATCATCTCTCACTAGAGTAATGCATTTCTTATAATTAATGAACCTACATTGATAAGCCATTATTACCCAAAGTCTATAGTTTACATTAGGTTTCTTTCTTGGTATTACACATTGTATGGGTTTGGGCAAATGTATAATGACATGTATTCACACTCACAGTACTATATATATATATATATATATATATATATATATATATATATACACACACACACACACACACACACACACACGCATATACATATATACACATATACATATACGTGTGTGTGTGTATGTGTGTGTGTTTATATATATATAAGTCTGATTGCCCTAAATATTCTCTGTTCTTGGCCTGTTTATCCTTCCTTCCCACTAACCCCTGACAACTACTGATCTTTTGATTCTCTCCAATGTCTTGCCTTTTTCAGGAGGTCATGTACTTGAAATCAAACAGTACGTAGCCTTATCTGATTGGCTCCTTTTACTTGGTAAAGTGAAACAGGGTGGCTTAAGGTGGCTGGAGTTCGGCATTTCCTTTCTCCAATGTTGATGGCTAGAGGATGCTGGAATTAGGTATTTTTCTTCCTCCTCATGGAAAGCTAGATATTTAATTCCCTTCCCCAGGTCTCTTAGACTCTAATAAAACCCCAGGAAGTTAAGCCTTTTTAAAATAGTTTGTCCCAAGGGCAGAAAACAGAAGGCTCTGGTATATTTCATAAAGGTGCCTTTTCTCTACCCCTTGCCACCCCGTAAGAGGATTTTTCTCCAATATTTATGTTTAGATGCTGTTACAGCTTCAGGTGGTAAAACTCACTAAAGTGTGGGGGCTTCTGATGGCTGGAATTTATAACTCTCAGACGTGTCCACCCTGAGTCTCCAGGAATTTTGTCAATTACATTTTAGGTTTTTCTACTTTAGCATTAGTTCCCACAGAAGTTTCATCTTATGGATGTCTGCTTTGGTAAGGTGTGATTCTCAGTGTTATTTTGTCTGTCTCACTTTTATGGGGCAGTAGTTGCTCTATAACCTCACTTTTATTAATATTACAGTACAGCCTTAAGGAAAGTTGTTAATTTTACAATTTGTTCAGATTTTTACTTGTTAGCAAAGAGTCACATCTTCTCAGCTCCTTATATGTTAAACTAGAAACTGGAGTTCTCCAGATTGTTTTTTTAAATAGGGCAATTTAGCCATATATATTTTTAAAATTTTTCATTTAAATGTGCCTCAATAATTTATTTTAATAGCTGTAATTTTCCATGTACATTTACTTGTTAATTTTTGTGTATGAAGTAATGTAAGGTTAACACTGTTCCCCTTTTAAAAAATTATAAATAGGCAACTGATACACAATAATTTGTGGAAAAATTATTTTATTCCAATTTAGATTAATTAATGTCTTTGTTAAATATAATTGGACCACTGAATGTGGATTTTTTTTCTAGTTAATTAAACTTTTTGACTATTCTTATTCCGACACTACACTCTCTTACTGTAACATTATAATAAGTTTAAATTCATGTTACACTAATGCCTTTGACTTTGCTCTATATTTCCAATAGTGTTTGTATAAGTCTATACAAACTTGAGCATTAGCTTGTACATATCTGGAAAAATGTATGCTGATTTAATTCAAATTTGAAGGAATACATGTCTTTACAATATTGAGGTTTCTCACCAATAAGCTTGTAATAATTTTCCAAATAATAGTCCTTTTTTCCCTGAGCAATGTTTTGTGACCTTCAGTGTAGAAGTCTTTTAGATTTTTGTTAAGTATATTTTTAGATATTTTACATTTTTGGTGCTACTACAAATAGTATATTCAATATAATTTTTGTTCCTAAAGTAAATGAATTACTTTGTTCTTTGTGTAAAGACCTAGTGATTTTTACATATTAATATCGTATCCTGAGACCATGAATTTACTTTTTATACCTAGCAGGTTTTTTGTACATTCTTTTGAATTTTCTAAATGTGCAATTATGTAATCTGCAAATACATATAGTTGTGATTATTTCTTTCATATATTTATGACTATTATTCATTCTTTTCCCTCTTCTTTATTCTTTGTCCTGTTGAACTGGTAAAATCCTCTAGTAAAAATATTAAATAGAAGTGGTAAGAGATTATAATCTTACTTCACATATAAAACAGGTGTATATGCAGGGAAAACCTTAACATGTTAAAAGACTGGGAAGTGTGTACTTGGAAGGAGGTTGTTTAATGTAAACAATTTTTACACAGATGATAAGACTGATACCTGTAGAAATGAAGTGGCTTCCAAAGATCTCCCAGGCATTTAATGGAAAACAAAGACAAAATATTTGTTTCTCAATTTTCCACTGTATTTGAATGTGTGAGCATGTTTATGCCCATGAGACTCTGTGCCACACTAAAGTATTGCTTGAATTTAGCCATTTGAGAAAACTATACATTTATATCATAATGTTGTTGCCTGAAATGTGTTTCATATTTATTAATGGATGAAGATGCAAGCACATTATTCTGAATATAGTGAAAGTAAGAAAACTGATAATAACTGATTAAAGAAGAAACATGATTTGAATATTTCAATAGATGTTATTAGATATGAGTAAAATTCAACAACCTTTTCTGAATTTAAAAAATACCTATAGTTTAATAATAATGAGCACTAGAAAAAGTATTCAATATTATAGTCTGAGAACTACTGTATTCTTATTCACTTATTTACCATTACTCATTGAATGCCTTTAAAAATAGCTCTTCTAAAATATTTGTCGGATAATTCCCATATCTATGTCATCTTGTCATTAACATTTTTAATTGTAATTTTTCATGCAATTTGAGATTTTTCTGTTTCTACCATATGCTGAATAATTTTGGTTTATGTACTAGACATTTTCAGTATTTTGTTATGACACTGCAGATCTTGCTTAAGCTGTGTGGTAGAACATAGATACCTTGTTTTATTTTTGTTCTGGCTTAGAACTCAATCGCCTCCTTGAATTCAGCCCACAAATTCTGATCAGCTTTCTGTAGGTTGTGGTTTCAGTGTCAGGTAAAAGTTTTCAAAGCATCTGGAGTCTTATTCAGGTTTTTGCCTATAAATGCCACTCAGTTGCTTCTCTGAGGTTTTTGTTTGATCTTTGGTTCTCAAAATCTATTTATGTTGTTTCTGGTCATATCTGTAATTGTGAGCCAGTACTTCATCAACGACATTAATGGGTTGATTTGGTAAGCTCCTATGTCTCCATTCTTACTGAGATTTTCTGTTGTGCTGGGCTCTTCTTTCAGGTCTTTTAGCAAGAAAGCTGTTGCTTTAGTTGATTGAATTAAATGCCAGGTAATGACAAGAAAGAATAATTTATAAAATTTAAACCATGTAGTCACATAAAGTATCTATTAAAGTTTTAGCATTCTCATGCTTCTTAGTCTGCACAAACCTTAAATAAACATTTCCTAGTTAAGAAACCTCAACATAACTAAATAAATAAAGCACCTCTGTATTTTATTGGAAATTACATGCTTTTTAAAGAAAAAAATGAGCAGTTTTATAAGAAAAGTTTGTTTATTCTAACAGAAATTTAACTCCCTTTAACTAGGAGAGATGCTGCCATACGAACCATCAAAAAAACATCAATTAAATCATAGTATTTGTACCCACTTGAGACGTAAGGTCACTTTTGAAATAAAAAGTTGATGAATAGAATGATTCTGTGTGTGAAATCCAGAAAAGTGAGCATTACTCAATAGTATCCTCTGTACACAATTTAGTTGTTACAATGTAATTAAATTAACATTTTTTGTAGTTTCCTACAAATGAAATACAAAAAAATGGACTATTATTTAAATAATTTTTTCATATTTCTCTTTCGCTAGTAGAAAATAAATTGCTGTAGCTGAAAGTGTAGCTATGAGCTTAACTTCTAGTGTATCTTTTAAGTGGCTTGAAACTATTAGAAACCCTCAACTAATGTCTATGCAATTTATAATGACTAATTTATGAAGAGCAATTAACTGTACATTTTTGTTGAAGTCACATGGAAGTTAATTTTCTTTGTGTTGTAGGAAAAATAAGTTAAATACTATGATGAAAACTACACACTTTTGATGCGGAGTTTGTTTTAAAGCATTACAATCATTAAGAATGTGGTCATAATTTCTAGGAAATAGCCCAGTTGCCACTATATGCAAAAGTAGTCTATTCAATAATCCCTTGATTGTTTTTGATAGAATATTAATTAGCTCTCAGAAATGGTCAATAGTAACTGTTTATATTAGTGTTTATAGCTTGGAGAATAGTTGTTACAATATATAATGATTACTCCTGAGTAAATTGCTTTCAACCACCTTAAAAATCTATGTCTCAATGGGAAATTTGCTATTTGCAAATATAATTTGGAGCCTCCAAGTGTTTTATTTTCAGTTTATTTTTATTTCAAGTGTTCTGGTTATTTTTAAAACATTTAACAGTTTATACAAAATCTCTAATATCAAGAAAATGCTTTATTTTAATAGGAATTTCAGAACACTTAGAATAAGCTGGCTTGTTTAATTACTGATGTAGCTTGAGTAGACATGCAAGATCTTGGGTTCTGCAATTTAGCATTTCTTTAGCCTTCTTGGGATCCCAGTGTAGTATTTTAGTTAGTGATCTCTGACTAGTGATCATCCATGAAATACCTATATCAACTAAACTTTGATTACATAATTTAAATTTGGGTATGGCAGTTCTTGGAAGTCTTGTACTGTCAGATGACTTAAACAACAAAAATGACAAAATAAAATTAACAAGTCAAGCCCCAAGACAGAGGAAAAAAAAAAACTTGCACTAGTATTTTAGATTTTGAAACATATATAATCAAGGTGGAAAGATCTGCTCAATTTCCTTAAAGTATGTACAACTGATATTATGCATGTATAAATCAGACTTCAGACTAGAAACTGGAGTTTTGTCCAGCTGAGTTTGTATAATCATCCATTAAATAAGCTTAATAATCTTCTCGTCTGAGAGATTTTTGTCAAAGTTATTAAAGCTACTAGTACTAGTTAGTTCAAAGAAGTTGAATCATGAAGCCTGCAAGTCTTCACTTAGCTGATCCATGACCAACCTCAAAAAACAAAAACAACAAAAACAAAAAACTAAAAAGCAAATAAACACACAAAAACCCTGCTTTAAGAGAAAACCTGACGGGCACAGTGGCTCACGCCTGTAGTCCCAGCACATTGGGAGGCCCAGGTGGGTGGATCACCTGAGGTCCAGAGTTCGAGACCACCCTGACCAACATGGTGAAACCCTGCCTCTATTAAAAATACAAAAAATTAGCCAGGCATGGTGGTGGCCACCTGTAATCCCAGCTATTCCAGACGCTGAGGCAGGAGAATCACTTGAACCTGTGAGGCAGAGGTTGCAGTGAGCCAAGATCTCACCACTGCACTCCAGACTGGGCAACAAAAGAAAATTCCCTCTCAAAAAAAAAAAAATAATAATAATAAAGAGGAAACCTAAGAGTTATTGTAATGGAGGAAATTTGACATTACTATTATAGCCCAGTATTGTGTAAGTAATGAAAAGGATATTAAAATCTCTTGGGAACAATATTAGAAATTACAAATCTATTATGGTGATATGGTTTGGCTCTGTGTTATCACCCAAATTTGAATTATCATCCCCACGTGTACAGGGAGGGACCTGTAATCCCCACCTGTCAAGGGAGGGAAGTGATTGGATTATGGGGACAGATTCCTCCATGCTGTTCTCATGATACTGAGTTAATTCTCAGGTGATCTGATGGTTTTATAAATGGAAGTTTTTCCTGTGCCCTCACTCAATTATCTCCTGCTGCCTTGTGCCTGCTTTCCCTTCACCTTCTGCCAAGGTTGTAGGTTTCCTGAGGCCTCCCCAGCAATGCAGAACTGTGAGTCAGTTAAACCTCTTTCCTTTATAAATTACCCAGTATCCAGTAGAATCTTTATAGCAGTGTAAAAATGGACTAGTACATATAGTAATATGTTTGCTATACTTTTACTTCCAATCAGATAAAAAAAAATTGTTGAGACTAATTTCTTTTCTATATCTCAGGCTTAGTTTTAGCTTTTTGAAATTTTCACTAAATACGAAACCATTAGATGACAATCAAAATCCTACAAGATAAACCATCTGTTTTTAAAATACTGAAAGTAACAAAATGGTCAATTATTGTGTTTTTATTTATAATATTAAAAAATAAATATGTGAACAGAAATAAGCATTGATTAAGCATTAATCAGTTTGAATTAATTGTGAGGAATATTACCAATAAGGCCTAAAAATCCAGGTTTTTAAAGATAATCCAAATAAAACTTTCCACATATGTAATTCCAGATGAGGTTGGCTTCTTTTCTTGTAACAGAAAAGTAAAAACAAAAGCAGAATTCTACAAACTAAGTAATAAGGGGATGCATTATTTCATATAACAAGACGCTAGTGTTAAGGAAGACTCGAAGCACAGATGTCAAGAGTTTAGCTCTTCTTTTCTCTAAATATTTTTGGTGCTGCTCCTTCTCTGTATTGGCTTCCTCAGGAGTTTCATAGAAAAATGGCATAAAATTTTGGAGTGTCCTGTCCAGTCATGGCAATTTCTAGAGGAAGGAAGAGGAATCATCTTTCTGTGTGGCTTTATGAGGTTTTAAAGAGCCCTTACCAGAAGCTCTCTATTATAAGAAAATACAGATCAATATCCTACAAGAGTAGAAGTACAGAAACCTCAATAGTATATTAGCAAATCAAATCTATCAACATATAAAAATGATAATGCATCAAGATGAAGTGAGACTTATGCCTGTATTACAAGGTAGATCAAATAATTGATTATAAATCAATGTACTTTTCTATATTAAAAGAGAAAAAAGCCATATAATCACATTAATAGGTGGATTTAGTAGGCTAAATAAAAGCTCCCCAGAGATGTCCATGCCCTAATCTTTGGAACCTGTGAATATGTTACCTCACATGGTAAAATAAAATTTTCATATGTGATGAAGTTAATGGTTTCAAGATTGGGATATTGCAAGTAAAGCCAATGTGTTCAGAAGTATCTTTATAAATAGGAGGCAGGAGAACCAGAGTCAGAGAGAGAAGATAAAGATGGTGACTGAAGTCATGGGATGTAGACGGACTCTAGAAGCTGAAAAAAGAAAACAGACTCTTTTCTAGCATACCCAGAAGAAATGCAGGCCTGCTGACGTTATGATTTTAGCCCAGGGAAACTGATGTTGGACTTCTGAAATCCATAACTATAAAATAATAAATTTGTATTGATTTAAGCCACTAAGCTTGTGGTAATTTATTATAGCATCAATGGGGAACTAATATAATACAAAATGAGTATTTTTAATAATTCAGCATTCAGCATGATAACAACTGTGATTGAACTGGTAGTTAATGAGAACTTTATCAACTTGTCAAAGGGCATTTATTAAAAAACTGTAGCTAGTATCACACTTTTTGGTAATACAGAATGTACTAATTCTAATTCTATGATCTGGCAACAAAGTAAAATAATCAACTTTAATCAGTGCCATTTAACATTAAAATGGAGGTCCTAGGCAGTACAATATGACAAAAATATCAAATCAAAAAGTTCATGGTTTGAAAAAAGAAAATTAAATTATTTGTGTATGGTGCTGGAGAAAGGTGAATAAATCAGTGGAGGAGAATAGAGGATTCATTCATAAGTCTACACATACATGGTGTATTAGTCTGTTCCCATGCTGCTAATAAAAACATAACTGAGACTAGGTAATTTATAAAGGAAAGAGGTTTAATGGACTTCCAGTTGGCTGGGGAGGCCACACAAACATGGCAAATGGCGAAGCAGGAGTAAAGTCATATCTTACACAGCAGCAGATAAGAGTGCTTGTGCAGTGTAACTTCCATTTATAAGACCATCAAGTCTCATGAGACTTACTCACTACCACAGTAATATGGGGGAAGTCACCCCCATGATTCAATTATCTCCCCCGGCACCACCCTGGATACAGGGGGATTATTACAATTCAAGGTGAGATTTTTATGGGAACACAGCCTAACTATATTATATGGTCAATTACTTTTAGATAAAGTTGGGAAGCCACTTCAATAGAGAAAGAATAGCCTCTTCAATATTCATGCTGAACAACTAAACAACTATATATAAACAATGAACTTCAAGTCATACCTTTTATTATATAAAAATACAATTGTAAGTCATTCTGGACCTAAACATAAAACCCAAGACTGTAACTCTTCTAGAAGAAAAAAATAGAAGAGTATATTTGCAAGTTTTGAGATGGGCAAAGATTTCTTACATTGGATTGAGAAAACACAAAACAACAACAACAATAGTAATACATTACAGTTCATTAAGATAAGAAAGTCTACTCTTTAAAAGATATTGCTAGAACATTTAAAGCAAATCACACTGAAGGGAAGCTTTGTAAAACAATGATCTAATAAAGGACTTCTAACCACAGTAAATAAATAACACTAACTCAATAATCAAAAAGTTAAAAATGGTCAAGAAATTTCATTGTAGACTTCACCAGAGAATACATAGAGATGAGAAATAAATGAACAAATGAATTGATGTTTGACAATATTAGTAATTAGAAAACAGTCAATTAAAATTGCAATGTAATAGCACAGCACACGTATTAGAATGGCTAAAATACTATTTAAAAACGGACAATATCAAGTGATGACAAGAATAAGGAACAACTGAAGTCTCATGCAATACCAGTGGGAATGCAAAATCATACAGTTATTTTGGAAAGCCATTTATTGATTTTTTTAAATAAAGCTAAATGTATACATAATATATAGCCTAGCATTCTCATTCCTTGTTATTTACCCAAGAAAAATAAAAATAGGCAAAAAAGGGATTTATCCTAAGAAAGCATGAGCTTTTACTCAATATCCTAGGTATTTAAAACTGCCAACTATTAAGTTTGTATAACACGTACACTTCTCCTTTTGTGGTAAAGTCTTTTTCCCATTTTATATTCTTCTGGTTTGATGTCAATTACTGCTCACTCATCCAGTCACAGGTATAGTCATGTGATACAGATTGGTCAAACTGTAGTACCCCATCTTCCTGAAAACTGTGTGAACCTGAAGTGATGGGAACAAAACATAGGCAAAGCCAATTTGATTTCTCCTTTTTGTGTAAATTACTTTGAGTTGTGTTAAAATAACTGGAAATTAAAAGTCTTAAAACAAGATGCAATTCTCACCATTGTCCATAGGCCTTATAAAGTCTGACTCTCATTTGCTCTTTGATCACAGTTTCTCCTACATTAAACTAACTTTTCTTGTTGATATCCCTTGATTACCCCCAAGCAAAATTCTGCTGCAGAGCCAGTATATTAGGATCCTAGCAGCCAGGATACAGATATTTTGATTCCCCCAGATATCTAGGACACAGATATTTGGATTTATGAAAGCCCTTGTTTCCTTTACATGTTTCTTTAAATGTTATTTTTTTCCTGTAATAAGTATTCTGACCACTGTATATGAAATTACAAACTGCCCCATCAGTATTCCAATTTCCCTTACTCTGTTCTATTTACTAATAGCATTTATCTTCTCCATTGCTGTATATATATTATTCACCTACCTATCTGTCATCTATCTATCTATATTTACATTTTACATTTCAAAAACACCTTACTCTTTAAAAGCTCCATCCCAGCACTACTATTGAACTGCAAGTCCTACCAGGGTAGGAGAGTCTCTCTTTTCTTTCTACTGCTCTTTTTCTGCAGACTAGACTATTACTTGCCACATACAAGTAAATCAATGAATATTTGTTGTAGGTAAGGGGTCCCCAACCCCTGGCCACAGACTGGTACCAATTTGTGGCCTGTAAGGAACTGGGCCACACAGCAGGAGGTAAGAAGAGGACAAGCGAGTATGACCACCTGAATTCTGCCTCTGGTCAGATCAGCAGCAGCATTAGATTCTCATAGGAGCACTGTATTAGTCCATTCTCACACTGCTATAAGGAAATGCCTGAGACTGGGTAATTTATAAACAAAAGAGGTTTAATTGGCTCAGCCCCACATGGCTGGAGAGGCCTGAGGAAACTTAAAATCATGGTATAAACAAAAGAGGTTTAATTGGCTCAGCCCCACATGGCTGGAGAGGCCTGAGGAAACTTAAAATCATGGCAGAAGGTAAGAGGAAAGTAAGGCACATCTTACATGGTGACAGGAAATAGAGAGAGTGCAGGGGAAGCTGCCACTTATAAAACCATCATATCTCATGAGAACTCACTCACTATCACAAAAACAGCATGATTGAAACCACCCCCATGATCCAATCACTTCTCACCAGGTCCCTCCCTCCATAACTGGAGATTAGAGTTTGAGATAAGATTTGGGTGGAGGACACAGAGCCAAACTATATCCTTATGCCCCTAGCCCCTCCCAAATCTCAATTCCTTTTCAAAACCAATCATGCCTTCCCAAGAGTCCCCCAAAGTCTTAATTCATTTCAGCATTAACTAAAAAGTCCAAGTACAAAATCTCATCTGAGACAAGCCAAGTCTCTTCCACCTATGCATCTGTAAAATCAAAAGCAAGTTAGTTACTTCCAGGATACATGGGAGTACAGGCATTGGCTAAATATTCCCATACCAATAGGAGAACTTGGCCAGACAAAGGGGCCATGAGTCCCACACAAGTCTGAAACCCAGTGGGGCAGTCATTAGAGCTCTGAAATGATTTCCCTTGACTCCATGTCTCACATCCAGGGCACACTGATGCAAGAAGTGGGCTCTTTCAGCAGCTGTATCCCATGGCTCTGTAGGGTACAACCCCTGCAGCTGTCCTCACAGGCTGGCATTGAGTGCCCACAGCTTTTCCAGGCACATAGTGCAAGCTGTTGGTGGATCTTCCTCTGGGGGCTGGAGGACTGTGACCCTCTTCTCACAGCTCCACTAAGCAGTCCCCAAGTGGGGACTCTATGTGTGGGCTCCAACCCCACATTTCCCTTCTGCACTACCCTCGCAGAGTTTCTTCACCAGGGCTCCACCCCTATAGTAGACTACTGCCTGGACATCCAGGCTTTTCCATACATCTTCTGAAATCTAGGTGGAGGTTTCCAAAGCTCAACTGTTGTGTTCTCTGCACCTGCAGGCCCAACACCATGTGGAAGCCACGGAGGGTTGGGCTTACACCCTCTGACGCAGTGGCCTGAGCTGTACCTTGTCCCCTTTTAGCCACAGCTGGAGATAGAATGGCTGGGACACAAGGCACAAAGTCCTGAGGCTGCAGAGAGCAGCAGGGTTCTGGGCCTGGCCCAGAAAGCCATTTTTTCCTCCTAGGCCTATGAGCCTGTGATGGGAAGGGCTGCTGTGAAGATCTCTAATATGCCTTGGAGACATTTTTTCTATTGTCTTGGCTGTTAACCTTTGGCTCCTGGTTACTTATGCAAATTTCTGGAACAGGCTTGAATTTCTCTCTAGAAAATGTTTTTTTCTTTTCTACTACATGGTCAGGCTGTACATTTTCCAAACTTTCACACTCTGCTTCCCTTTTAAACATAAGTTCCACTTTCAGATCATCTCTTTGTGAATGCATATAACTGAACACTTTCACAATAATCCAGGTCACCTGTTGCATGCTGTTGAAATTTCTTCTGTCAGATACCCTAAATCATCTCTATCAAGTTCAAATTTCCACAGATTCTCTAGGGACAGGGCAAAATGCCATCAGTCTCTTTGCTAAAGCATAGCAAAAGTGAACTCTGCTCCAGTTCCCAAGAAGTTCCTCATCTCCATCTGAGACCACCTCTGCCTGGACTTCATTGTCAGTATCACTATCAGCATTTTGGTCAAAACTATTCAACAAGTCTCTAGGAAATTCCAAAATTGTCCTCAACTTCCTGTCTTCTTCTGAGCCCGCCAAACTGTTCTAACCTCTGCCAATTACTCAGTTCCAAAGTTGCTTCCACATTCTGAGGTATCTCATAGCAATGTCCCACTATCTCAGTATCAATTTACTGTATTAGTCTGTTTTCACACTACTATAAAGAACTGCCTGAGACTGGGTAATTTATAAACAAAAGAGATTTAATTTATTTACAGTTCTGCATGGCTGGGGAGGCCTCAGAAAACTTATAATCATGGTGAAAGGCAAAGGGGAAGCAAGGCAACATCTGGTGGCAGGTGGAGAGAGAGTGTGTAGGGGAAACTGCTACTTACAAAATTAATTGTATCTCGTGAGAACTCATTCACAATCACGAGAACAGCATGGGGGAAACCACCCTCATGATCCAATCACCTCCCACCAGGTCCCTCCCTCAACATATGGGAGTTACAACTGGAGATGAAATTTTGGTAGGGACACAGAACCAAACCATATCAAGTGCAAACCCTAATGTGAACTGTGCATGAGAGGGATTTAGGTTGTGTTCTCATTACAAGAATCTAATGCCTGATGATCTGAGGATAGAAGTTCCATCCTGAAACCATTCCCCCATACTCCTGGTCCATGGAAAAATTGTCTTCCATGAAACCATTCCCTGTTGCCAAAATGGTTGGAGACCATTGTAGGTGTTTACTAAAAATTCAGTGCAGAGGCATAAGTTAGACTTGGAATGGGTCACTTTCTCTGAACATGCCTCAGTCTTAATGTATTTAATAGGCATAAAATAATAGCTACTCTCTTTCTTCCATATTTTACATGTATTGTATACATCACATATTTTTATTTGAAAGTGTTTACAAAGTTATGTTTGGTGATATGAGGTCATATTTCCAGAGATAACTCTATATACACACACGTACATACACAGAAAATACATTGTTAGCCTTTTTTTAAATTACCCAACTCAGCTTTGTCTTGCTCCTCAAAAAGACAGCTAATGGTTAACAAAAACCAAATGTTTTGGAGAAAAGTATTCTGATACTAATGTCACAAATATTTGTTCTTTAAAATTATTTTAACAGTTACTTATAATGCTGTTAAATTTTAAAATAATTGAATACACTGCTATTTACCTTATAGAATTAAACTTTTTAATACAATTTGATTCCATAGTCAAATTATTGACATAATAGAAGACCTAACATATAATTCATATATTAGTCATGTTACTGAGAAAGCAATAGGTGAAACAATAATTTTATAATATTCTATAAAAGAGTTTAGCAACAGTGGCACATCCTGAAATCTAGTTGTGGCTATGTGTATAACATGGACCATAACCTTGTGCAGAATATCCCGTTTTAATACTTTCTTTGCATTTATCAAATGTGTTTAACACCCTTCCTATTTTGAGGTTCTTTTAGAGTCACAGTTGTTAATACCTATGTAAAATACACACACAGACACACACACAAATATATATACTTTCTAAGAAAAACATTCTTAGAAAAGAAAACTAAAGATATCCTAGAAACCAGACAGTGACTCCAGGCTATAGTCTGCAATGATCACAGATGCTCTCTTTAGGGTAGTACTCTTTGAAAAAAAGAAGTATTTTCCTTGCCCATATTCTAACAGCTCTCTAGTCAAGCCATGATCATTTTCCTTAGGATGATCAAAACTGCCTGGATAACCTTCACCTCCTTCCCCAGCACTCCCCCTCACCAGAGGCAGGTGTTATGCTTACCCACAACTCACAAGCTTATAGGCCACCCTTCAGAAGTTACACAAGCATCAAAGCCAGAAATCACAGAGGAAAGGACTGACAGACTAGACTTCAAATATCTTTTAAACATCAATATAACAAAACTATCCTCAACATGTAAAAAATAAAAAAAAGGCAAATTTGATAAAATATTGTCACACATGATATACAATAGGTTAATATCCTTTCTAAATAAATATTTCATATGCATCAATAAGACTGAGGTAAGAATGCCAGTAGACAGTGGCATAAGGAGTTTTTCGTTAATTTTTAATGATTTTTTTATTAAATAATCCAAAGACCAATTTAAAATAGTGCTATGTTTTCTAATCCTACTTATTAGCAATAATTCTAAACAGAGAATGATTTGTGTGGATAAGTAGGCGAGGTAAAAGGCACACTATACACATCAAAAAAACTATTTGGAAAACTAGTTACCAAAATGTGAATATTTTTGACCCACCAGTACAATCATGAAAAATACATATTTAGAAAATAGTTGTACAAGAAAGCACAAACTTATGTTTCACCATATTTATACCAACTGTGCCATTTAAGGCACCCCCACAATAAAAAAACAATTAGATCGCATAAGATAGAAAACTGGTAAACATTTTTTAATAAAGTAATATGGATGATGATATAAATCCTTGTGTAAAATAGTCCTGCTTCCATTCTTTCTTGGCATTTATCAAATTTGCTTAATAACCCTGTCTCCAACAATATTTCAAAGTTGTTTTAGAATTACAAATGTTAATATATAGGTAGAATATATATATATATATGCACACACCCATATATATATATATATATATATATATATATATATATATACATATATATGTACACGCACATCATCAAAAGGATGATGAAAATCTATATCTTTAACCTTGAAAGATGACAAGGATATATTGGTTGAAAAAAAAGTAGTCTATAAGCATCATGAAGAACTTTTTGTAAATGATTTTTACGATATTTATTGTTATACATAAACAAAAATGTGTATATTTTTATAAGTGTTTATGCTAAGATATTAACCATTGTTATCTGTAACTTCAGGTTATATTGATATTTTAATTTATATCTTTGTATATAGCCTACATTTAAAAATGAGTATATTATTAAATAATATTATATTAAAACATAAACATAATATCAATGAACATTATGTTTTACTTTAGAACAAAACATAGAGAAAGATTAGTTCAGACACAAATAGAAAATACATTAAAGTTCACATGTTTGGGGTAAATAAATACTTTGCTCTTAAGCTTAATGATATCCTAATTATATTTGCCCCCTCTCATTGTTTATTTTCTAATTGTAATTCTTTCATCTCTTAATCTTCATGTTTTTGTCTGTCTAATCAGCACATCAAATATTACACCAGCTGGTAATGAGGAACTAGTTTAAAGGTTTAATATGGCCTTTCAAGTAAAACAGATTTGGCTTTCAAATTACAGCTCGATCACTTTGTTAGGATATTAATGTGGGCTGAATTAACCTCTCAGTGCCTCAGTGTCCTCCGTTATATTAATGACAGTATACTATTCGGCACATAAAAGTTGCTGTCGACATAGTAGACCCATCTTCCCCTTTCCTGATCCACTTGATTCAGAGCCAGCCCTTACTCCCACTCTTTTTGCTACTCCTCAATCTAGTTAGTGCCCTATAATTTATTGGCTATTTAAACCTTGCTAGGTCTTCCTTATATTTATCAATTAATCTTGCAATAAAGAATTGGGAGATGTAAAGACAACTATAATGAACAAAAGCTTTCTGATTAAATGTTAACCTTCTGGACTTAAGTAATCTTTCCATCTTGGTTTTCTGCAATCCTCCTGGTCTAGCTCAAAGGTACTGCAAAGGCTGAAGGGTTAACATTTCTAAAACGCCATTTTATTATGGTTTGTGAATATTTTCTGATAACTGTAGTAAAAATTATTATGACACATTCAAATGCAGATGAAGTGCCAAGGAAATACTGTGCCAGCAGATATGCCTAATAGAATTACAAAAGTGTTCATGAATATTTACTAGAAGCATAATTGTATTATATGTCTCCTAGCTCTTTTAACATAATCTATTGAGTTTTCTACCATGGGCGTTATTTGTGCTGAGTTATTTCTTTGAACATCATATAATGAAATGACTAACATGTATAAGTTCCTTTCAAAACAAATAGGTAAAAGAATCAAGTAGTCTTTCCTAAAGACTTCAGGCAGTTAACAAATAGCTTGAAGTCTGAGCTTTCTAAATTCACATCGAGTTCCATTAATAATGATGGAAAAGTTAAAGAGCTTTAAGTGTGTGGAGATGAGAGTTACACACACGTACACCCAGCATACACATTCACTGACAAATTTCTATTACATTTGTAGCACACAATCTCCACTGTGAAAATATGCATGGAATTAAAATAATTTGGGGGGACTTATGTAATAAGCTCTAAGTATTGCATTATAAAGGCACATCCTTAGAAATTTCAAGTGCTTCACTTATTTTTATTCCTACATCTTCAAAAACACCTAAGAGATATAATGATTGTACTTTTCTGGCCTCCATAAATGGAGGCAGCTCAAGTACTTGAAGAGAGTTCAGAGGAGAGTCTCCAAGAAAATTAAATGGCTGGAAAGTTAAATGTATTATGCAAAGGTTAAAAGAACTTTCGTTAGAGGAAGCAGAGCAAAACTGACCTTTAAGCAAACATGGCATGTATGAAACATGGGACAAGAGTGAGGTGACTCTACTATCACATGGACTGGTAAACAATGCTAATAGTAAGTAAAACTAAAATAAATATAAGCACAAAGACATAAAAATGACCAAATGAATTGAGTAATAATTGGTTTCATGGTGCTTATGTTATGTTGATTTATGATATTTTAATTAACAAAGTTGAAACTAGCAAGGACTTTGATTACCTTGCATACTGCTTAGTAGTTATTCACAACTTATTACCAAAAAACAGAACCAAATTTTGGATGAAGGGTGTAATGAATCTAACTAAAAAATCTTGCAAAACACAAAACAAGACTAAGAAGAAAAACATTGAAAAAACCTTTCAAGTTTCTGGGCATCTTTGAAGCTAAAGATTTCCTTGTGTCACAGCTCTGTATATAGCCAGTAAGGTATTTTTGCCTTTAAGCTTCCCATCATTCTTCTGGACTGTAACATGGATGCATATTTAATTATATTATCTCTAGGGTTTTGAAACTAAGAGGCTTGCCCAAGTAGCCTAGGAGCAAGATAAAAATCAGTGCAATACGGTTCAAATAGGATTAAAAAAATGAGAGGCACTCTTATTCCACGTGGGAGTGGTCTTTCCATGGGGGGCAGAGAGTCATCAGGGTTTCTTAAGGTAGCATGCGATGAGAAGTGGAAAAGAAGAACCCATGTGGATGTTCTGGCAAGCAACATGCTACGAAACACTGGCTAGAGAAGTGGGTTGGAACTGTAAGCCTCTGAGTCAGAAGAGGCGTAATGATTTTTCTCTAAGAGAAGGGAACTGCACTCAAGACTAACATTCAATTTTTTTTTTTTTTAAGACGGAGTCTCGCTCTGTCGCCCAGGCTGGAGTGCAGTGGCGCAATCTCGGCTCACTGCAGGCTCCGCCTCCCCGGTTCACGCCATTCTCCTGCCTCAGTCTCCTGAGTAGCTGGGACTGCAGGCGCCCGCCACCAAGCCCGGCTAATTTTTTTGTATTTTTAGTAGAGACGGGGTTTCACTGCGTTAGCCAGGATGGTCTCGATCTCCTGACCTCGTGATCCGCCCGCCTCCGCCTCCCAAAGTGCTGGGATTACAGGTGTGAGCCACTGCGCCCGGCCTTACATTCAAATTTTGACTTAGCCACTTGCTAACCCTATGACCCTGGAAAAGTTCCTAAAAATCTTTGAATTATTTTGTTTTTAAATAAAGAAACAAAAAAACTTCACAAATATTCATATATGAAGATTACAGGAATAACCATATATTAATTATGTATCATGTACATATTCTATGTGCTGATGAGGGCAGATATAAAGAGAAAAACACATTTGCTCTTGATAATGTCATAGGGCCTATGAATCTTTTGAAGAATTTAAGACCTGTGAATGGTGACTTTTCCTTTTTCTATGTAAAGAGATGTAGCATAAAAATATTATTTAAAACATCTAAATATTTTCTAATGAAATAGTGAAACAAATATTCCTAGAATGATGTCATAAGTAGGGTACATTTAAAGGTATTTTCCCAAAAACAAAAACAAAAACAAAACAAAAAAACAAAAAATCTTCCAGAGTGTAATGGGTTGGTGTATTTTAGTAATTGAATACAAGGTTTTAAGACATAAATGTGAATAAATGTTATGAATTTGGATGAAAGTAAGAAAAGGAAAAGAGGATAAGAGTACAACTTATGTTATGATCTGCTTCTGGGGCATAAAATGACTTTAAGAAATAATTTTCTGTAAAGCCATCTACTTCTCAACCCTCTCTGTTCTCTGTATCTAGAACTCCCATGCTTCTGTCATACATCTAAAGAAATTTGAGGGGGAACTCTCTTCTTATAGACATACAAAGTCAAAATATTTAAGGAAAGCATAAGAAAATAATTCAAATTAGAGATTATTAGCACAAGCAAATTAATTTTGCTCCTAAAATCATGATATTTTAAATTTACAGCACATACAGGTGATCAAATTTTGCATGCATTCATAATCTAGGTAATTATTTATTAAATATAGATTATGAAGAGATAAAACAAACTATGAAGTAGTCAATAAACATTTTGACATGCTAATATTTCTAATAATTTTATGAAGAAAACAAAGAAAGTAAATTAGACTGACATATTTGGAAGGCAGCAAATATTAAATTAGCATGGGAACATTAAAATTAATCATACATTATTATTTACTCCACAGATGGTCAATTATTTGAATTTCTCAGAGTAATTAGAATTCAAGGATTTTCTTTATAGTAAAGAACACAGGATTTTAGATTAGCTTAGAATTAGAAAACAGACTCAATTATAGAAGCAATCATTCTTTTTAACTATAAAAATGATGGACAGTGGTACCTCTATTCTTTGATGTTCGAAAAATTTTTTAAAAATCTTCTTAATTTCACTATTCCACCTGAAGCAATTACCTTGATGTGTTTAAATCTACCCTGGTGGTTGCAGTGTGAACGATTTCAGTAAAAGCCTAGAAGTTATCTTTTTATGATTTCTTAAAATACTGTTTAAGTGCATATTAAAATAATTGTTACCAGATTAAACATTTATTTTAAACACAATAATAGTGTAACTAAGGTATATAAAACATGTTTTAGACACTGGCTGTTGTGTACAGAGAATAAAGATAAATGTTTTCTTACTTAGAAATATTGATCCAGTTATACCTGATAATTTGAATACCCACTTAAGTATTTATAAAATGTTAATTATTTTATGCTAGTTAAGGACTTACATAGAATCTAAAGCCAAAAATTAGTCTTGAGTTCTAATATTTTAAAATTAATGCTGATTGAGATTTTATTCTGATATGTTTTCATTAACTATAGGTTAATATCAGAGAGTAACTTAAACTTTAAATATTGCTTATTAAGTATTGTTAGTTAACACATGAACTTAAATTTTGTCAGCATGGTTGCTAAAATAGGCTACTTATATTTACCTCTAAATTTTCTTTACTCATATTGCAAAAAAGTACATAGGTAAACAATCAACGACTACTATCTTCTTTTAGTTTGATCACCTTCAAACAAATTTGTGTAACTGACTTATGTAAATACATCTCAAATGTAGAGAGAAGCTGTAAGGAAAAGCAGATCCTACAAGGAAATGAATGAAACTAGTGGGTCCAGCTTTAAATAAATGGATAGAGATGACATTATCATTACTGTGTCCGGAATTGGTGGGTTCTTGGTCTCACTGACTTCAAGAATGAAGCCGCGGACTCTCACGGTGAGTGTTACAGCTCTTAAGGTGGCGCGTCTGGAGTTTGTTCCTTCTGATGTTCGGATGTATTCGGAGTTTCTTCCTTCTGGTGGGTTCATGGTCTCGCTGGCTTCAGGAGTGAAGCTGCAGACCTTCGCGGTGAGTGTTACAGCTCATAAAAGCAGTGTGGACCCAAAGAGTTAGCAGTAACAAGATTTATTGCAAAGAGTGAAAGAACAAACTTTCCACAATGTGGAAGGGGACCCAAGCAGGTTGCCGCTGCTGGCTCCGGCAGCCTGCTTTTATTCTCTTATCTGGCCCCACCCACGTCCTGCTGATTGGTAGAGCCTAGTGGTCTGTTTTGACAGGGCGCTGAATGGTGCGTTTACAATCCCTGAGCTAGACACAAAGGTTCTCCACGTCCCCATCAGATTAACTAGATACAGAGTGTGGACACAAAGGTTCTCCAAGGCCCCACCAGAGTAGCTAGATACAGAGTGTGGATTGGTGCATTCACAAACCCTGAGCTAGACACAGGGTGCTGATTGGTGTGTTTACAAACCTTGAGCTAGATACACAGTGCCAATTGGTGTATTTACAATCCCTGAGCTAGACATAAAGGTTCTCCAAGGTCCCACCAGAGTAGCTAGATACAGAATGTTGATTGGTGCATTCACAAACCCTGAGCTAGACACAGGGTGCTGATTGGTGTGTTTACAAACCTTGAGCTAGACATAAAGGTTCTCCACGTCCCCACCAGACTCAGGAGCCCAGCTGGCTTCACCCAGTGGATCCCGCACCAGGGCTGCAGGTGGAGCTGCTTGCCAGTCCCAGTGCCGTGCGCCCGCACTCTTCAGCCCTTGGGTGGTCGATGGGACTGAGCGCCGTGGAGCAGGGGGCGGCGCTCATCGGGGAGGCTCCGGCCGCACAGGAGCCCACGGAGGGCGTGGGAGGCTCAGGCACGGCGGGCTGCAGGTCCCGAGCCCTGCCCTGCGGGAAGGCAGCTAAGGCCCGGTGAGAAATGGAGCGCAGCGCCGGTGGGCTGGCACTGCTGGGGGACCCAGTACACCCTCCGCAGCCGCTGGCCCGGCTGCTAAGCCCCTCATTGGCCGGGTCCGGCAGGGCCGGCCGGCTGCTCCGAGTGCGGGGCCCGCCAAGGCCACGCCCACCCGGAACTCCAGCTGGCCAGCAAGCGCCGGGCGCAGCCGCGGTTCCCGCTCGCGCCTCTCCCTCCACACCTCCCTGCAAGCTGAGGGAGCCGGCTCTGGCCTTGGCCAGCCCAGAAAGGGGCTCCCACAGTGCAGCGGTGGGCTGAAGGGCCCCTCAAGTGCCGCCAAAGTGGGAGCCCAGGCAGAGGAGGCGCCGAGAGCAAGCGAGGGCTGTGAGGACTGCCAGCACACTGTCACCTCTTACTACTTTCCCATAAATTCTTTGGCATATGAAGAAAGGGAAAGAGAGAGAAAGAAGAAAAGAAAGGGACAAAAGAGGGAAGAGAGGAAAAGAGGAAAACATCAACACAGGTAAGGGGAAATATATATATATATTATAGATTTATATAGATCTAGATATAGATCGAGAAAGAGAAAAGTAAAGCAAATAGGAAAGGGAGGGATGAAGAATGGGAAAGAGAGAGATGGAATGGATGGAAGAAATTCCATTGTATAATTACTTAGAGAAAAATTATCTAGTCCTTTCACACCCAAGTGGTTCAGTTCTACACATCCAATCCCTTCAAAAAGTGTTTTAGGAGTTATAGTTTAACTCCCAGCTACTCTTCTCTGTTCTAGCCCCTGCCCACAAACTTCTTGTTCTCCCCCACTCATTTTCTTTTTGACTGTTTAATAGTAAAGTTTAGTTCACAGTTACATATAATCTAAGTAACCAACAATAGTTCTACCGGAGGGAGATGCTAATAAAATGTGCACAAAGGGAGGCACAGGGTTTATTCCACGTCATCCAGTTGTGGTACTGGATGCTTCCTGGACCACCCAGAAGTTTCTCTATTGCCTAGCCACACTTACATTATGTTGTGTGGCCAAAAGCTTTGCTTTCTTCCGGTAAAATGTGAGTATAACAGGACTAGAAAGGAACGAATTGATGATAATTAACAGAATTATTTGGGCTTTAGATACTTAACGTAAGCTTGGTATAGTTAGTACAACATTCTCTGAATGACAAACAGAAAGGTTCACATCTGTGTAATTTACAAAAGTCACAGTTATAGCATTAACAAACAACAACAATAAAAAGGCCCAGCATTGTCATTAAGGAAGACTGTGTTAGAATCTACATAAGGGAAAGAAGAGTGAGAGTGCTTTTCATCAAGAATAGGAATTCAGCTTGTTTTCATCTGATTTTGGAACAACAGGTTTTCTTTGCTCTCAGAACAGTTATCTGAGAAACATAGGATGCAAACTGCTTTATGTCAACAAATAATTGCTGAAAAATGTAAAAGTATGAGGCTCTGGGGTTTATAAATGTCCATCACTTTATTTGCTGTTAGAGATTTTTTCTTTACAGGTAAACAGACATGTCAGGCAACCGGCCATGTTTGACATTTTATATCAGGTCAAGCTTAGAATTTTTAAAATTCTTTAAAAAAGGTTGATATTTCCCTGCAAATATTATTTTTGCAGATTTAAGGAAAATGAGCCAAAATGAAACCCATAGAAAGGTTGCAAGTACAGTACAGAAAATTTTTTTCTGAGTCATTTGAAAGTAAGTTAATAACCTAATGGCCAATCATCCTCTAAGACACAGACTGTGTTTCTTATAAACAAGAATATTCTTCTACACAATTCCACTATAACCATTAGAATCCAGAGCCTCACTGACACATTACTATCTCCTAATCCTTATATAATATTGGCATTTTGCTTACTGTCAAAATAATGTCCATTATAGTCAATGCACCAAATTTAGGATCATATAGTCTCTTTTTTTTAACATTTATCACCTTGACACTTAAAATATATATATATATATATGTATATATATATATATATGACAGTTATATACATTTTCCCTCAATTTGAGTTTGTGTTCTGTTTCCTCACCATTAGGTTAAGGTTATATAACTTCGGTGGGGATAGCAGAGAAATAATTCTGTGTTCCATTCATTGATTCCTCAATTTTGTTTTATTCTGTTACTGAAAATTGTACTTTTATTACCTTGAGGTGTTTTGCAAGGTTTCTCTGATTTTAAAATCAGAGAGTAATTTTAAAAATTTTATGTTTATAGTTAATGAGTTTCTCTTTGAGGAGTTTCTTCCATATTGTGTACTCATTCCTTATCAAACTTTCAATTTAGTCTTTATTAGCTTATACCTATATGGACTTATACTTTTGCATGTTATACAAACAGTGACAATCTGTGTATTAGTCCATTTTCACATTGCTATAAAGAATTGTCTGAGACTGGGTAATTGATAAAAGAAAGGGATGTAATTGACTCACAGTTCACATGGCTGGGGAGGCCTCAGTAAACTTACAATCATGGCAGGATGCAATTTATGTTCTTGGCACTTTTGTCAAGATGAGTTCAGTGTTGGTGTATGGATTTATTTCTTGACTCTATACTTATTCCATTGGTCTATGTGTCTGTTTTTATGCCAGAGCCATGCTGTTTTGGTTATTATAGCTCTGTAGTATAATTTGAAGTCAGGTAATGTGATTCCTCCAGTTTTGTTCTTTTTGCTCAGAATGACTTTGGCTATTCTGGGTCTTTTGTGGTTCCATATTAATTTTAGGATTTTTCTTTTCTATTTCTCTGAAGAATGTCATTGTCTTTTTGATACTGATTGCAATGAATCTGTAGACTGCTTTGGGTAGTATGGACATATTAACACTATTGATGCTTCCAACTCATGAATATGGAATATCTTTCCATTTTTTTGTGTCCTCTTCAATTTCTTGCGTCAATGTTTCACAGTTTTATTATAGAGACCTTTCACTTCTTTGGTTATGTTTATTCCCAGGTATCTTTTTTTTGTAGCTATTGTAAGTGGAATTACTCTCTTGATTTTTTTCAGATTGTTTGCTGTTAATATATAGAAATATTTCTAATTTTTGTATGTTGGTTTGATAGCCCACGGTGACCACTGCCTGGCTGTCACTGATGTCCACTCAAGGCCCAAGGACTTTTCATTCAGGTTTTGGTAACTGTTAACAGGCCTGGCTTTCTCCCTATAGGGCAATGGGCTTCCTTTGGGCTCTGGATAGGTCTATAATTGCCTTCCAGGAACCAAGGCTTGGAATTCGGGATCCAGGAGCATATTTGGTTCTCTATCCACTGTGACTGAGCTGGTACCCAAACTGCAGGACAAAGTCTTGTTTACTCTTTTCTATTCTTTTCAGAAGCAGAAAGGGTCCTCTCCCCATGGCCACCGCAGCTAGGAATATGCGGAGTCACACTTGAAGCCAGCACAGCACTGGGTCACACCCAAGGCTTGCAGTGAGTACTGCCTAAGTATCGTTGATGTTTATTTGAGGGCCAAGAACTCTTTAGTCAGCAGGTCATCCTGCCAGAACTGGGTATATCCTTTCAAGGCAGTGGGTTCCCTTCTGGCCAGGATATGTCTAGAAATGTTACCTAGGAGCTAGGTCTTGGAATGGAGGCCTCAGGACTCTGCTTGGTGCCCTGTTCTACTGTGGGGCAGCTGTTATCCAAGTTGCAAAGCCAAGTCCTCTTTACTCTGGCCTCTCCGCACTTCAAGTATAAGTAAGGAATCTCTTCTGAAGCTGCAAGTTGCGCTGCCTGGGCTTGGGATTTGTGTGATATAAACCGCATACAAATTTCAGGATTGTTTTTCTATTTGTGTGGAGAATGTCATTGGTATTTTGACAGCAATTCCATTGGATCTACAGATTGCTTTAGGTGGCATGGTCACTTTTTACTACACAATTCTTCCAATGTATTAGCATAGGATGTCTTTCCACTTGTTTGTGTCCTCTTCCATTTTTATTTAATCAGTTGTGTAGTTTTTCTTGTAGAGATTGCTCACTCAATTGGTTAAATTTAATTCTAGATTGTTTTTGCATCCAGAGTAAATAAAATCACTTTCTTGATTTCTTTTTCAGCTACTTTGTTATTATTTTACGGAATTGCTCCTGATTTTAAAATGTTGATTTTATATCCTGCAAACTTACTTAATTTGTTTATCAAATAAAAGCATATTTTTCTGGAATCTTTAGGGTTTTTTTTTAAATCTAAAGTCATGTCATCTGCAAAGAGAGACAATTTGGCTTTCTATTTTTCAATTTGGATGTCCTTTTATTTCTTTTTCTTCCTTGAATGTTCTGGCCAGGACTGCCAGCACTATGTTGAATAAGAATGTTGAAAGTGAGCATACTTTTCTTATTCCAGTGCTTAGAGAAAGGCTTTCAGGTTTCCCCATTCAATACAATGTTAGTTATAGTTTGTCATATAGTCTTTATTATGGTGGAGTATGTTTCTCTTATGCCTAATTCGTTGAGTTTTTATCATGAAGGGTTGAATTTTATCAAATATTTTTCTGAATCTATTGAGATAATCATATGATTTTTATCCTTCATTCTGCGTGATGTGATGTATCCATTTATTAATTGGTTACATTGAACTATCTTTGCATGCCTGTAATAAATCCAAGGCCTTGTTGCTTTGCACAGTCTTGGGACTTGGTGCCCTGTGTCCCAGCCATGGCTGAAAGAGCCAACATAGAACTCAGGCTGTTGCTTCAGAGGTTGAAAGACCCAAGCCTTGGCAGCTTCCATGTGATGTTGAGCCTGCAGGTGCACAGAAGTCAAGAGTTGAGGTTTGGGAACTCCCGCCTAGATTTCAGAGGATGTATGGAAATGCCTGGATGTTCAGGTAAAAGTTTGCTGCATGAGTAGAGCCCTCATTGAGAACTTTTGCTAGGGCAGTGCAGAAGGGAAATGAGGGGTCAGAGCCCCCACACAGAGTCCCCACTGGGGTATTGCCTAATGGAGCTGTGAGAAGAGGGTGATCATCCTTCAGACCCTAGAATGGTAGATCCACCAACAGTCAAAGGAGATCGTTTTGGAGCTTTAAGATTTGACTTCCCCACTGGATGTCAGGCTTTCATGGGCCTGTAGCCCCTTTGTTTTGGCCAATTTCTCCCTTTTGGAATGGGTGTATTTACCCATTGCCTGTGCCCCCATTGTATCTAGGAAGTAACTAACTTGTGTTTGATTTTATAAGCTCATAGGCAGAAGGGACTTGCTTTGTCTCAGATGTAACTGTGGACTGTGGACTTCTGAGTTAATGCTGAAATGAGTTAAGACTCTGAGTGACTGTTGGGAAGGCATGATTGGTTTTGAAATGTGAAGACATGAGATTTGGGGGGAGCCAGGGGCAGAATGATATGGTTTGGCTGTGTCCTCACCAAAATCTCACCTTAAATTGTCATAATCCTCACATGTCAAGGTGGGGTCAGGTGGAGATAATTGAATCACAGGGGTGGTTTTGCTCCATACTGTTCTCTTAGTAATGAATAAGTCTCATGGGATCTGATGGTTTTATAAATGGGAGTTCCCCTGCACAAGCTCTCTTGCCTGCTGCTGTGTAAGAAGTGACTTTGCTCCTTCTTCCATGATTGTGAGGCCTTCCCAGCCATGTGGAACTGTGAGTCAATTAAACCTCTTTCCTTTATAAATTACTCAGTCTCAGGTATGTCATTATTAGTAGCCTGAGAATGGACTAATACAGTTCTGGAGGATGTTTATGTGCTGATGAAAAAAATGTACATTCTGTAGGTGTTGAACACAACATTCTTTAAATTTTTATTAGGTCTATTTTGTCTACAGCACAGATTAAATCTGATGTTTCTTTGTTGATTTTCTGTGATTTGTCCAATGGTGAAAGTGGGGTGTTGAAGTCCCCAGCTATTATCCTACTGAGGTCTGTATCTGCCTTTAGCGCTAATAATATTAGCTATTTATGTCTGGATGCTTTGGTGTTGAGTGCATGTATATTTATAATTATTATATCCTCTTAAAGAATCAATCTTTCAGCAATAAAAAAGTATAGTTGGTTCATAAAAAAAAGAATCAATCTCTTTGTCAATATAATGATCTTCTTTGTCTCTGTTTATATTTTTGACATAAAGTCTGTTTTTTTCTGATACAACTATAGCTACTTCTGCGTGCTTTTTATTTATTTTTATGTAGAGTATATTTGCCATCTCTTCACTTTCAATCTATATGTGTCTTGATGGGTAAAGTGAGTTTCCTATAGGCAGCATATAGTTGGGTTTTTATTTAAACAAAACCCCATGTAGTCAGTCTCTTATTTTAATTGGGGAATTTAGACTATTTACATTCAATGATGTTATCAATAATAGGATTTACTGTTATTTTCTAAATCTTTTTCTGATTATTTTGTATATCTTTTGTTCTTTTCTTTATCTTTTATTGTTTACTCTTACAATTTAGAGTGCTTCTGTAATGATAGTTTTTTTTTCTCGTTTGTGTATTTGTTGTTTCTGTGAGTTTTATACTTTAATGGATTTCTATGGTGGTTGTTTCTGTATTTGAGTTTTGAGTTCATTTTCTATCTTTATATAGGCAAAATAATTTAAACCCAACTTCTGCATACCTGTAAAATGGTTGATCCATAATATTAATGTGACCATGTGTCTCTCTAATTTCATTTTTAAACTATTTATGTTTAGTATATAGAAAAATCATAACTAGTCCAATATAAAAGATCCTTAAAAATCTCCCACTTCTCTATTTCACAAACTTGATCTTCCTTAATGTCATCATATCATTTGGACTCTATTGATTAAATAAAGCATAACCATGATGTTCCATGCTTCTCTTATGACTACATCCTTTCCCAACTATACCATCGGGTTTCCTTCAATTACACAAATCTTAGTCATTTTTCAAGAACAGCCAAGGTCTCATGTTGAATAAAGTATAGTGACCATGTAATATCATCTAAACTAGGCTATGTAAAGAGTAAAAGGGAGTCATTAAAAATGACATTGTGGCACCTCTTGTAAAGTGAGATTTTCCTGGGCACTTTGACCCATATGGGCACTGTAGATTAAGGTTTTCCTTTCTCAATTTGTTTCAATTCATGTAAAAACTCTATGAGGCACCATATTATACTTGAGATGTTTATATGAACAACTCTTATGTTTAACTGTAATCTCATGAAGACACAGATTGTTCTTTCATCATCTTTGTGAATATGTATTACCATGACAGATACTAAAGATGACTACAAAAAGTAAAGAAATTGACTCATAATCTTCATTATTAACATCAGTTAAACAACTCTTGTATTACTGTTGTATCTTCAGTTTCCTGAGGGATAATATTGTTAACCATCACCTTGTATGTTCACAGACAGCCATCAAGTCAGGTGTAAGTGTGTGTTTTGCAGTTGCCCCCTTAAATGTCAGTTGTTCCTTGTTTGTAATGACAGTATCTATTTCCCATTTTTTATTGAAGTTATTGCTGACAATGATTTAGAAAACATACCTCTTGGGCCGGGTGCTGTAGCTCATGTCTGTAATCTCAGCACTTTGGGAGGCTGAGGCCGGCAGATCATTTGAGGTCAGGAGTTTGAGACCAGCCTGGCCAAAATGGTGAGCCCCTGTCTCTACTAAAAATACAACACTTAGCCGGGCATGGTGGTGCACACACCTGTAATCCCAGGTACTCGGGAGGCTGAGGCAGGAGAATCGATTGAACCTAGGAGACAGAGGCTGCAGTGAGTCAAGATTGTGCCACTGCACTCCAGCCTGGGTGACAGTGAGACTCTGACTCAAAAAAAAAACAAAAAACCAAAAACCTCTTATCTCTCTCTCTGACACACACACATGCACTGTTAAAAAATAAAAATTACATTTTTGGATTATGCTTGGGAATTTAGAAATCTGGAAAGAAGCTAGCTCCCACATGCAATGACAACAATAAAAAGCCTTATTGTCAATATTCTATGACAACTATTCTAGAGATTAGAGAGCTAATGTCACAAGGCAACCAACTACTTAAAAATCAAAAAATCACTTGTGCCTACAAGAGGAGTTAGAATATGAACACTTGCTGACCAAGGGTGGTTGCAGTTGGACACTAGAAAGAAGAATTCCACTATTCAGTTAACCATTTGACACAGGCCAAATGTGGGTTAGCAAGCGAGTACAGAATTCATGGGGCCACAGTTACAAGGGAACTTCACATGCTCTTTCCTGGCTCTTTTCTATGGAGTTCACCAGGTGTTCAAGAAAAGATTGTTGAGTCTTATAGTACAGGCCCAAGGGGGAACAAGAGCTACTATGGGAAATAAATGAAATGCATCCAATTCCCTCTCCCTTATGTCTCTAGAAAACAAAGGCCTTAAACTGTGTTGAGAAGAACAATACATACTGTCACCTTGATAAAAGAGAACATAAAAATTAACTCTGACCCCTAGGGAGAGGCAGAAATACATGCTGAGTCCAGAACCACAGCTGAGGAGAACAAAGTGAAATGTGAAGGATACCTCGCTGAGACATGGAAACAGAGCTTCTGCCTAAGAATGAGGCTTAATCAGGAACAAACCAAAAAACAACAATAAATAAAAACATAATAAATTAGTAAATATGTCTCACCACCACTAATAAGCATCACATAACACATTTTGGTGGGGTATTTCTGAGACATAGAGAATGTAGAGAAAATTCCTCTCTGAAGTATAGCATAAAAACATACTAAAAGCTGAAGGCAAGATTACACAATATTAGAAAAAAAGAGAATTATTTTCTAGAAAACTAACCATGCCAAACACGTTAAAGGAAGTTATTCACTCAGAAGAAATATTATAGGAGTCATGTATTTTTCTATCAAGTAATAAAGAAAATTCAAAATGTAACACATGAAGGTAACTTTTTTTTAACTTTTATTATCATAAAGGTAATTAACTATCTGCAGCAAGAATAGTAGTAAGGTATTGTGTGTTTTCAGCATATAAAAATAAATTAATGATAGCAATAGCTCAAAGAATGGTAGGTAGAAATTGGGAACTGATTAAGATCAGTGATGGTCTTATACTTATGTGTGCTGGTTAATTTTATACCATGTGGTGGTTAATTTTGTGTGTCATCTTGACTGTATCACAAGGAACCCAAATATTTTAAACATCATCCTCAGTGTCTGTGGTGTCTACGAGGGTGTTTCTGGATGAGATTAACCCTTTAATTGGCAGAATGAGGAAGCAGATAGCTCTCTCCAATGTGAATGGGCCTCATCCAATCAATTGAAGGCCTGAATAGAACGATAGTAGAGTAATGGAGAATTCACTCTTTTTCTGTTGGATTGTCTTTGATCTGGAACGTAAATCTTCTGTCTCTATACATGGATTTAGTATAGATGTTATACCAATGGATCTCCTGGTTCTCAAGCCTTCAGACTTAGACTGACACTATACCCCTGGCAACAACTAATCTGTTCTTCATCTCCACACTTTTATCATTTCCAGGATGCTACATAAAAGGAATCATACAATATGTAACCTTTGGAGATTGACTATGTTCACTCAGTCTAATGTCTTTAAGATTCATTCAGGTTGCTCCATGTATCCATAGTTCATTCCTTTATATGGCTGAGTAGTATTCCATTGCTTGGGTTTGCCAGAGTTTGCTTAACCATTCACCCTTTGAAAGACATTCAGATTGTTTACAGGTTTTTGTCATTACAAATAAAGCTATTATCAGAATTCATGTACAGATTAAAAAATTAAACAAACAAAAACAAGAATGAAATATGCCCAGAGCACACTCCATAACAAATGCTTACTCAACTGAGGAAAGTACTTTTCCAGTCTTATTCCTCCCAGGAGAATGTGTTTTTGCCTCACCAGACCCCTGTGAAATTCCTGTGTCATCTTCAGGGATGGAGAGGCTAAAAAACACTGATGAAGGTCACAGTCTATATGGCACAAGCTCACTAAAACATTGACATAAAATTTTAAGATTATAGAATTTTAAAATTCTATAATCCCCCAAACCTTACCATCATAACAACAGCACTCCAGTGTAATAACAGTAGATTACAGCTAAAATAATTGCAAGACACAGCTTATCTTTGGGCATGAGTACTTAGGGAAGCCAAAAGTTAATAGAAGAGGCAAAAACAAGGACACTAGAAGAATCTGTCACTTATAGCTACAGCAAACATTAAACACAGGCCAACTCTGAGCCAAATTATCATAAAGTCTCACACTAAGGACCTATTTACCTTAGTTCCTATTACACAATACATCATGTCTAGATTTCAATAAAAACTGTTAAGACACAGCAAGAAGGCAAGACAAAGGAAAGAAAAAATATATTCTTTTTAAACTTTTTTTTAATTATACATTAAGTTCTAGGGTACATGTGCACAACGTGCAGGTTTGTTACATATGTATACATGTGCCATGTTGGTGTGCTGCACCCATTAACTCATCATTTACATTAGGTGTATCTCCTAATGCTAACCCTCCTCCCCCTGCTCCACCCCACGACAGGCCCTGGTGTGTGATGTTCCCCTTCCTGTGTCCAAGTGTTCTCATTATTAAATTCCCACCTGAGTGAGAATATGTGGTGTTTGGTTTTTCGTCCTTGTGATAGTTTGCTGAGAGTGATGGTTTCCAGCTTCATCCATGACCCTACAAAGGACCTGAACTCTTCATTTTTTATGGCTGCATAGTATTCCATGGTGTATATGTGCCACATTTTCCTAATCCAGTCTATCATTGTTGGACATTTGGGTTGGTTCCAAGTCTTTGCTATTGTGAGTAGTGCTGCAGTAAACATATGTGTGCATGTGTCTTTATAGCAGCATGATTTATATTCCTTTGGGTATATACCCAGTAATGGGATGGCTGGGTCAAATGGTATTTCTAGTTCTAGATCCCTGAGGAATCGCCACACTGTCTTCCACAATGGTTGAACTAGTTTACAGTCAAAGCAATGGCAACAAAAGCCAGAATTGACAAATGGGATCTAATTAAACTAAAGAGCTTCTGCACAGCAAAAGAAACTACCATCAGAAAATATATATTCTTAAGAGAAAAAGCAAATATCAGAACCAGAGTTAGATAAGACAGATGTTGGAATTACCATAAAGGGGATTTAATATAGCTAAGATTAACATATTAGGGGCTGCAATAGAAATGTAGACAACACACAGTAACAGGTAATGTAAGAAAAGAGATGAAAACTTTAAGAAAGAATCAAAGAAAATGCTAGAAAAAAACAAAAAACAAATGAAGAACGTCTTTAATGTACTCAGCAGTGGACTGGACATAGTTGAGGAAAGAATCAGTGAGTTTAAAAATAGGTCAATGGAGATTGAGATCATCCTGGCTAACACGGTGAAACCCTGTCTCTACTAAAAATACAAAAAATTAGCCAGGCGTGGTGGCAGGCACCTGTAGTCCCAGCTACTTGGGAGGCTGAGGCAGGAGAATGGTGCGAACCCGGGAGGCTGAGCTTGCGGTGAGTTGAGATCGTGCCACTGCACTGCAGCCTGGGCAACAGAGCGAGAGACTCTTCTCGAAAAAAAAAAATAGGTCAATAGAAACTTCACAAGTGAAAATGTAAAGAGGAAAAAAGAAGAGTGAAAATTGAACCAGACCAGCACATCCAAAAACTACAAAATTTTCAAAAGGGAAACATAGATAACTGGTTCACAAGAGTAGAAGAAAGAGAGACTGGACATTCACTATGGTAGATCGCACTGTATGTAAATAAATACTACTTGAAATTATTAAAATAATAAAAATAAAGTAGTTTATGAAATCACAATGGAATTAAAATAGAAATAAATATCAGAAAAAAATAGCTAGAAAATCCCCAGATACTTGGAAATCAAACAACACACTTTAAATAACACACAGATTTTTCTTAAAGAAAAGCCCTAAAATATATTTTTAAAATGTTTTTAACTATACAGACATGAAACACAAGTTTTCAGAATTTGTGGGATGCAGCAAAAGCAGTGCTTAAAAGGAAATTTATAGCATTGAAGACATATTTTTAAAAAGAAACAAAATCAGTATTATGTTATTTTAGGAAACTAGAGAAAAAAGAGCAAGGTAAGCCTAAAGTAAGCATAATAAAAATATATATATAACAGACATCAGTGAAATTGAAGACATAAAATCAGTAGAGAAAATTGAGAAATCCCAAAGCTGTTTTTATGTAAGGGTAAGTCGATAAGCTTCTAACCAAGTTAAACAAAACAAAAAGCATCAACATGTAAGTTATTAATATCAGAAATGAGATCGGGGCCATTACTAGTGATACCATGGGCATTAATTAAAATAACAATGAAAGAATATTCTGAATAACTCTTTGTGAGAATTTTGATAATTTTGATGAAATGGACCAGTTCCTCAAAGTCAATTACTATTAACTCACACAAAGGTATATAAGTAATATGAAGAAGTCTATACCTACTAATGAAATTGAATCAATAAATAATAACCTTTCCCCACAAAAATTACTGGGCCTAGTTGGTTTCACTGCTGAATTTAACTTTAAAGTTTAAGTTAAAAAAAAAAAGATACCAAATAATTATCTACAATAACTTCCAGAAAACAAAATCTGAGGGAAATCTTCCAAATTCATAAGCCAAAAAAATGAACGTAGACACCACTAAGCTTGCATCTTTCACAGAAATCAACTCAGTACAGATCATAGACCTAAATATAGAAAGTAAAGGTATAAAATTTTGAGAACTAAACATAGGAGCAAGTCTATGTGACTTGCAGTTAGGTAATAAGTTTTTAGACTCAACACCAAAAGCACTTGTGTGGACTAGCTTCAGAAGTCATATCCTGTTCTTTACATGGTATACTGGTGGTTACACAGGTTGGTCTTATTCAGTGAGCAAGATGACTACACAAAAGATCAATATCACAAAATAAGAATCTTTGAGGGACATCTGGAGGCTGCCTACCACTTCCTCAAAAAAAAAAAATCATGTCAAAATTTCAAACTCATGAAATCTGACTCCAAAAGCGTATTAATTCTGGCACTGCCAGTCACCAGCTGTGTGACTTTAGGTAAATTACTTTAACTCTTTTCACTTCTCTTCATTTCAGTTTTGCACTCATGAATTGAGGATGGTGAAAGTACCTCCCTCCAGGGTTATTTATAGAATGAAATAAGAAAATGCAAGTAAAGCAGCACAGAGACTACAACCTGGTAAAATTTAATAATAGCAGCAGCAGCAACCACCACCACCATCACCACCATTTTTGAATGCATAGATTGTATTATTATTGTGCTAACTAGTTAAATGCTTTCCACATATCCCCTCATTTAATCCTCAATTTACCACATTATTCTATTTATAGTTAGAAAACTTAAAAGGTACAATATTTAATGTACTTATTTTAAAGAAAACTACTTTGTAGTTTTAAATTTAAATTTAAATTCTTTAAATTTATTTAAAAATAAATCCTGAAGATTTATTTTTCCTTAAAGTTATTTCAATATCACAGAATGCAGTTTCTTAGGGATAGTCAATGAGAGCAAAATCATACTGTACCAGCTAAGTAGCCTAGTAGCCTGTAAACAGACTTCTCCTTAACCTGTATTTCAAGCTCTTGATAGCAAGTGTTTTCTCTCTCTCTCTCTCTTCATATATCTATAAATTTGTACTCGAACTTTTGGCATTGAATGTGGTCAGACTTAAATCTCAGGATCAGAAAAACTGTTAAGTAAAATGATTACAAAGCTAAATTGGTGACCATCACAGAAAGTTAACCTGCAGAATTTAGGCTAATCTCTACCTCGTCATCCTTTGGTAATATTCTGAATTTAAAACGAAAGCTTTAAGAAATGAAACTTGTCAGGCGTGGTGACTCACGCCTGTAATCCCAGCACTTGGGAGGCCTAGGGAGGCAGATTACCTGAGGTCGGGACTTCAAGACCAGCCTGACCAACATGGAGAAACCCCGTCTCTACTAAAAATAAAAAATTAGCCAGTTATGGTGGTGCATGCCTGTAATCCCAGCTACTTGGGAGGCTGAGGCAGAAGAATCACTTGAACCTGGGAGGTGGAGGTTGAGGTGAGCCAAGATCACGCCATTGAACTCCAGCTTGGGCTACAAGAGCAAAATTCCGTCTCAAAAAAAAAAAAAAAAAAGGAAAAGAAAAGAAAAGAGGTACAAGAAATGATAACATAAGAAGTTTTGCCGTCATGCTTTAACTATCTGAGAATCTCAAACAACTGGAAACACTGAATAATAAAGAGCAATATAAAAGGGACATTGATTCTATGATTTACCAATAATGGGGCTGGAAAGATTCAGCCACTTTGATTGTTTCTTTTGTCAGTTTTGTGTAGCTATTATTTTTTCAGTGTAAACTGTAGCCCCATGGATTACATAAGAGAAATTCAAAGAGCAGCATAAACTTAAATCTTAGATGTTTCCTTTCCATGATTAAGAAAGATTATTTGGGTTTTTACTTGTTTCACCATGGCTTAGTAAGGACAACCTTATTCAAATAGAGCACTTAGAATCACAATATCATAACATTTTTGAGAGGAGAATGGTGTCTGTATATATATATGATATCATCCATCTTATTTCATAATGTAGAAAGCAAGAATGCTGGAAGTGAATACATTTGTCAAAGTTTATAAAGGCCAGAAGTCACCAGAGTCCTAAAGATTTTAGTATTACAAGTTGACATACTACTAGTCTTATGTAAATATGAACCTTTAACGTATAATTTTCTAAAAGGTAAAATCATGCACATATAAGACAACATATACCAAATATTTTATGCAACACATTAATTAATGAATTCCTAAGATGTTCAAAATATTCCAAAAAGAAGTTTTGAAACAAAATGTTTATGGGTAACGTTAGAATATCATTATTGGTTGGATACAAAACTGGTTAATATTCAAAATACCATAAACTATTATCAGTGGAATTGTCTGTTCCACTGGACATAAATTATTTGCATCTCTACTAAGTGAAAATCTCAGAGTTACTGATCCTGAAGAACCGTAATATAGAATAGATAACACAAAGTCTCCCAGCACCTCACTGAAAGAACACCCAGTAATTTATTTTTCTCTTTTTGTACATTTTGAATAATTTTTGTAATGGTTTTGTTTTTGGAAAGTACATTTCCAAAGTAAAAATTTCTCTTTTTCTTTTAAAGTCTTATGAGAATTACATGAAATGGGAAATTATAAATGAAAATGCTATGTAAACTAACTAAAAATGCAGATGTCAGGCTGATTGTTTTTCTTCCTAAATATATTTATTTTATGAAATAAACCATTTTTGTTAGTGTTGATGGTATATATTATACATTTTCTTATAATATAATTATCACTTAATTCCAGTCAGTGAAGCTCTTATAGCAAACTCCACTCTGCAGAAATATAGCTGCCACCCTGGAGCCTCTGTCAAATGGCATTCCCCTTTACTTTAAAATAAATGTATATCATCTGTTTCTTCAAATGCCTGGACGCTTCTGCCTTTTGCAGTGTACATTTAGTGAACTTTACTTTGTAGTTAAGAAATTGTCACCTTTATAGGTTTTTATAGCTTTTTTTCCAGTAAATTATTGACTATCATGTGCTGGCTAAGTGTTACTAAACGTACAATTGAGAAAAGCCATACCATTTTTGCCAACTACTTTAATACTGTGTACCATAAATGGCCATTGCTAATAAAAAGCCCCAGAAAGCCCTGCAGTTAACCTCCTGCTTGTCTATTTGGCGAATTGAAAGGTCAGAGCCTGAAGGCAATGTCAACACTTGATCAAACTAAAAAGAATAAATAAAGATACAATAATAGTCTAACTCCTTGTTTACAGAACGTTTCTAAGCCCATTTGAGAGACATAGTGTCAGCTCTCTGCAAATATCAATCCATGTCTGATGCTTCCTGACAAATGAAGAATGATACTTACAAAATTGTGAAAAAAGGCGAGTTTTTATTTGAAAACTTTACAAATCCCCTTTGCAAATCTCCCTTTACTTTTATATCTCTATTTACTGTGAACCCCTAAAGATGCCAAATATAAACATTTATAAGGTCCGTAACATACAAGGATATAGCAGATAATAAATTGTGCATACATGTGTCTGCGTGTGTTGTATAATTGCTGGGCTTTGAGGGAAATTTCTGTGTGCATGCATGCATATGTTTCTTTAAAACAGAACTTTCTTCAAATTCTTCTGATTGTGGCCATCCTTCATTGTGAGTCATATGTTGCGAGGAATTTTAACTATTTAAAAAACTGAAATCTAAATTATGTGAAGTGTATGAATATACTATGTGAAATTTCCTGATTTTTAAAACTGGCCTAATTTTTATAAAACATGAATAATAGTCAAACAAAACATGTCTGACCAAAATATATGTGTGTCATGGCAGTAATAATGGCAAAATTTAGTTACCCATTTTAACTATAAGTACTTCATTATATTTTACTTTGATAAAAGTATAAAAGAAGCTGATATTGCATTAGAAAAATATTTATTTTTAGCTTTCTCAAACACTTGTAAAATTTATTTACTATTCGGTTACTAGGAACAGAATTGAAAAACAAAAAACATTATCAGAAAATTCCAATATTTAAACAATTAAAATAAACTAACCTATAGAAATTATAAGAATAAATTATGCAAGACATTTTAAGTAAGTTTAAGGAGTAAAATTTTTTTCCGAAACATAACTAAAACATGTTTTTTATTCATTTATTTACAAATCTCATTCAGTGGAAAGGTGGAATACAATATTTAGTGATTTTGCCTAGTAGCATAATGTGTCCAAATGCTTTGGCTGAAATTTCTAGTCAATTAAGGTAAAGATGAGATGGCCTGGAATCTACATTAGCAAAACTTTGCCACTCAGTGAATTTGCCAATGTCGTAGCATCCACTTAAAATGGGGAAATCATAGGAAAGCGAATATAACCAAATTCTGCTAAATGCTCTCCTTGTTTAAGTTAAGCCTTGTTTAAGTTAAAGTTCATAATCTTTTTTAGCCTGGCCTAGATTTCAGTCACACCTCTTACTTCCTTCCCTACTTCTTATCACTAGCTAGTGTTGCAAGAGTCAGAGCATCTTATAATACTTAGTAGAAGAGCTTCCTGGTGGCTCACACCTGTAATCCCAGGACTTTGGGAGGCCCAAGCGGGAAATCATGAGGTCAGAAGTTCGAGACCTGCCCGACCAACATGGAGAAACCCCATCTCTACTAAAAATACAAAAAATTAGCTGGGCATAGTGGCTGGCACCTGTAATCCCAGCTACTCAGGAGGCTGAGGCAGGAGAATTGCTTGAACCCAGGAGGCAGAGGTTGCAGTAAGCTGAGATCACGCCACAGCACTCCAGCCTGGGTGACAGAGTAAGACTCCATCTCAAAAAAAAAAAAAACAAAACAAAAAAGAACAAGAATCCTGGGCCAAGTAAATTAACCTCTTAAGTCTCAGCATCCTCATTTATTTTTTTCAAGTTTCAGAATGCTACAATTTCTAGCTTTAATTTCTGAAAAATAAATGTGTATTATAAGAAGTAGGTTATTTATTTGGTAGAAATCTGTCACCTCTGGGAAAATAAGTTATACGTAATTACAGTAGAAATGTCATTTTGGCTAGGCCTGGAAATACACTGATAGTAAAGTTTAAAAAAGCACCCACCAAAGAAGATCGAATAAACTTTAATATATTTAGTACCTCAATTCCCTACAAGTAAGGCTAGACTTTTTTTTAATTGAAGTGGTCAGGTACAGTCTTAGTCTGTTTTGTGTTGCTTTATATCTGAGGCTGGACAATTTATTTAAAAAAAAAGCTTTATTTGGATCATGATTATAATGGTTGGAAAGTTCAAGATTGGGCACTTGCATCTCGTGAAAGCCTTATTAGGCTGATTATTTTTATGACAGAAGGTGAGGGGGAGTTGTGTTGTGCAGAAATCACACAGTGAGGAAGGAGAAAAGACCGAGAGGTGACATGCCAGTCTCCTTTGAACAACCAGCTCTTGAAGAAACCAATAAAGAACTCACTTACTTCTGAGAGAGGGCATGATCTATTCATGAGGAATTTAACCAAAACACCTCCCAGCAGGCCCCACCTCCAACACTGGTCAAATTTCAACATGAGGTTTTGAGGAGACAAACATCCAAACCATAGCAGGTACCTAAATCATCTCATTAGAAAGGAGTCGGAAAGGCTCAACTGAAAAATAATCAATTCAACAACAGACCAACCAAACAGCTTTAGTCTCCTCTTAAGTGCCATAAAAAGCTATGCAAGATCTACTGTATTATTTAATGTAAATAATTATTTCTTAGAGAAAAATAAATATAAAGAATAAACTTTAAATGCTCGTTATTCTACTACTCAATTATAAATACAATATTATAGTAAGTTTCCAGGTTTCTATCTGTAATGTTTTCTATTAACATTGCTATAATCAACATTTAGATTTCTTTTTTCACTTGGCTTTGTATTATAAACATAGTGTCATATAATTAAATAAGGTTCTATTAACAATGTATTGTGACCACAGACTCTCACATAACCAATAGCCAATTACAAAGAAACCTTAGTGACTTAAAGCAATACAAATATTAATATATTATCTTGCAGTTATGGAGGTCAAAGGATTACAGTGGGGACTGCAGAGTGGCATTTCTTCTGGAGGCTGTAGAGGAATCTGTTTCGTTGCACTTCCAATTTCCGTAGAGAACTTGTGTTGCTTAGTTCATGATCTTTCAGTCTTCAAAGTCAGCAGGGTTGCATTTTCAATTCCCTGTGATCTCCTGCCTTCCCCCTCATAAGGACCCTTTTCAATACATTAGGCCAACCAAATAGGATGATACAAGATAATTTCCCCATTTCAAGATTCTTAATTTAATTTCTGCAAAATTTCTTTTACCATGCAAGAGATCATGTTAACAGTTTTGAGGATTAGGACATTGACATCTTTGGGGCCATTATTTAGCTTACAACATAAACTCTATTTTTGACATGTGTTTTTATTTTTTCTTGTTATAACTAACTCTGCATTTCATATCTGGATGAATATACATTTTCTGCTTTTTTAGATAACTTCAAAAAATTATTTGCTTTGGTTTGCTTTCAGGATAAATCTTTAGGAGCATAACTATTCAATGTAGATTATTAAAAATACTATGGTCTTTAATTCATTTTCCAGTTAACAAAAAAAATGCATCAATTTACATATCTCCTAGCAGTTTATGAGAGTGTTGAAAATGACATGCAAATTGTAAATGGATTAGCAGACTATGTTAACTCTTAAATGAGCCGAGGCTATGTTAAACTGCTGACAGCTTTTGTTGATAAATCCCTCACTCACCACAGCCGATACTTCCTCCTTTCACAGTTTTGTCTGTGCCCACTCTGTGTTGCGCAGTACAGAGATATTTAAGATTCATAGTGTATCCCCAGTTCTCTTACACATCTACTGTTACAGGGGCTGCCTCTACTGCCGGAAATTGTATTTTACTCCAAGTCTGTTTAACAAACCACTACACAAACTTCAGGTCTGTCTGCCTATCAATACCATTAATAATAATAATAATAAACACTATTTGGAAAACATTTTCTAATTTACAAATAGCATTCACATCCTAATCCTCAACACCTAGTCCCAAACGCTAAGATTCATAGAGCTGCCCATTTGTAGATGATGCTCCAGATAAGCTGGCATTTGAGTTTAGAAGGAGAAAAATTCTGGAGAAAAATTCCAGAGAAATATTTAAATATCATAAATTATTTTGAACCTTGCTTATACTCTATGGTTATAAAACTCTTTCCATTAATTAATGAAATAGCTTTGTTATTGCTACTGTCATTTTTGGTTTTATAAAAACTATTTTTATTTTATGATAGTTAAATATTCACAAGAAGTTTTAACAATAGCACACAGATGTCCTTTGTACCATTCATTTTATTCTTCAGTGGTAACATCATATATAACTGTATCACTTCATAACAGGTGAATTGACATTGGTACAATGAGATTATAATTAGAGAGCAAGCAGAGTTGCATTCAATATGGTTCCTTCTCGGTTTGTAAGTATAATTTATGGAGACCTAGGGTATGTGTACTTCTGAATTTCCATTTATTTTCAATAAGATTCCCATAGTTCAGAGACTATATTCAGCAGACAATTTTCACTATTGTTCTATTTTCTATAAGACTTCTACATGAGTGATTTGCAGTTGTGAGAAGTAAATATTACTTTTTTAAATACCTCATAGATATTAAATTTCCCAGGATATAGGGAGCCTTGGGCATATTATTCAGTCACCCTTTATAAAAGAGCTTTAAAATCATTTAAAGGCTTTAGATTGGAATCATTCTAGTGAACCTCTACATTTAGCTTCTGTGATCCTGTATACTTTCAAGATACAAACGTTAAATTATGAGAAGTTTGCATGTGAAATGCCTAATTTGACAGTTCTCATTGAAAACCTTGGCAACACCACTCCACTGTCTTTCCAAGTAAAAGTGATGTTTCTGAATACAATGATATTTTATTTTACTTATATATCTAATCATTCTGATTCAAAAGATAGCAACATTCTTCAAATATAATAATTTGAAGTGTGTGCCTTTCTTAACAATAAGAAACATATTATTTGATCTTTGCTTATTTGTATAATCAGAGCAAAAGTTGTATTTATTTGGGACTATCAGATCATTTGTGAGTGCTGATGACCTTAAAAGGAATCTTGATTTATATTTGAGAAGCTAACAGATATATTTGCCTCTTTTTTCTTTTCTAAACATATGAAAATCTTCATGGAAAAAATATAACAAAGAGGTGAACTAATTACTAGATTCTCAGATGTTATATATACAAACATAAAATAATAAATCATTGCCATAGGAACAATAATGAGTTATGGAGAAAACCTATTCTATGGTGTAATTAGCTTTGAAATAAAAGATCCACTTACGGTTCTTTATAACAACACTATATTTTTTCTTAAATTAATTCACTCCTCTATTTTTAATAACAATACCTGAAAATTTTTAGAAAAGCAACAATATAAGAGGATTGTTGGTCTAGGTGCGGTGGCTCACGCCTGTAATCCTAGCACTTTGGGAGGCTGAGGCAGGCGGATCACGAGGTCAGGAGATGGAGACCATCCTAGATAACACAGTGAAACTCCGTCACCACTAAAAATACAAAAAATTAGCCAGGCATAATGACATATGCCTGTAGTCCCAGCTACTTGGGAGGCTGAGGCAGGGGAATCATTTGAACCTGGAAGGTGGAGGTTGCAGTGAGAGGCGATCATGCCACCTCACTCCAGCCTGGGTGACAGAGAGAGACTCCAAAGAAAAAGAGGGATTGTCTTTTGGGATTTTTTTATAGTGTGCATTACATTATATTATTTAAAAATGCATTTAGAATAGCAACTACATTGTTGTTTAGAACTTGAAATATCACTAGTCTTGTACCTTTAGCTCTCACTGTTCATATCTGTTTAGTATGAAGTTTAACAAAACAACTTGAAGTTCATTCAACTCGTTACTTTGTTTCTATCATTTTTTGCTTCTTTAGTAAGCAACTTGAGTCCAAATGGACACACACACAGACACGCAAACACACACACACACCCACATGCATACCCTTTTTTTCCTGTAAAATAGTTAGATATTAACATGCATTAATAAGAAGATATAAGAAGTACTGTTATCAGATTTATCAATCATCCAGTTTTAGATTCAATGTGATTTTTGTGACAAATCACAGCTATTTATAGTTGATTATGGTAAACTTAGTGTTATTCTGGAGTATATAGTTTAGGTAACAATAACAAAATAGTATTTATAGAAGTAGTGCGTAGTCTATTTAGAGAGATAAAAGCTAAGAATGTGAAATAAATAGGGAAGAATTCACTTTTGAATGAATAAGCAAATAACTTTTAAAATTGAATAATGAATGTCTCTGACATTCAGATGCACACACACACCCACACCCACACACACACACACACACACACACACACACACACGCGAGATTCTTATGGGATAAGTTAGAAAAGAGCACATGTTAATGATAAAGAATTACAAGTAGATTCATTAGTTTTTGCATTCTTAGCTTGAGAGGGATCTCTGGAAGTATCACACACATATATATTAAGTACCGACTATATGTTTAATACTCTTCTGAAAAATATAATTCAGAAAAGAATCACTTAATAGAGCTTGTTTACAAGATATATTTAGTCTCCTTTGAAATAAAAAGCCAAGCCACATGAAATGAATAGTAAAAAATACAACTTTATTCCACCTTTAATAATACATAGAGCCACCAGATAGAAAATCAATAAGGAAACAGCAGGTTTGAATAACATTGTAGACCAAATAAACTTACCAGACATATACATACTTTTTATCCAACAACTGAAGAATACACATTCTTTTTAAGTGCATGAGAGACAATCCTGAGGATAGATCATATATTAGGTCACAAAACAAGTCTTAAAAATTTAAGAAGACAAAATCATATCAAATATCTTTTCAAACTGCAATGTATTAAAACTAGAAATCAGTAACAGCGAGAAAATGTGTATAAATTAATAACATGCCCTTGAACAAGCACTGGGTCAAAGAGAAACTCCAAAGAGGATTTATAAATATCTCAAGATGAAAACAAAACATATTCAAACTAATGGGATGTAGCAAACATAATGATGAAAGGAAATTTTATAATGCTAGTACTGTTTTAGGACTTTCCCTTTAGTTCAGCTAAAAACAGGATCCTTGTCACACAACCATGAAATATTAGGCTCACAGACATTTTGAGAGGTAAGAAAAATTGAATTTATTTGGCAAAAGGGAAAAAAGAGGAAACAGGGACTCTTCACAGAGTGAGTCTTGCTAGTATAGGCTTCCCACCCCACAGATTGAATTCCAGGTTCCACCCCAGAAAAAGAGAGGCCAGGCTCCTCCCTGCTGCAAATAATGCTGACTTCCTGAAGCTCCACCCCAGTGCACACTCCTCCTGGTGTGCAGGTCGGTTGGAGTTTCCCTGAGGACTTCTTTACATTTGGCTGTCTTAATACTTACACTATAAAAGATATATCTCAAATAAACAACTTAACTTTGCAACTCAAGGAACTAGAAAAAAAAAAAAACCAAATTAACAGAAAGAAACAATAAAGATCAGAGAAAATAATAAAATAGATAATAGAGAAACTATAGAAAATATCAACAAAACTGAATTGGTTTTTCTTTTTTTTAATTTTATTTTAAGTTCCAGGATATAAGTGCAGAAGGTGTAGGTTTGTTACATCAGTATACATGTGCCATGGTGGTTTGCTGCAGCTATCATCCTAACATCTAGGTTTTAAGCCCCGCATGCATTAGGTATATGTCCTAATGCCCTCCCTCCCCTCACCCCCACCCCCTGATTGGCCCTGGTGTGTGTTGTTCCCCTCCCTGTGTCTATGTGTTCTCATTGTTCCACTCCCACTTATGAGTAAAAACATGCCGTGCTTGGTTTTCTGTTCCTGTGTTAGTTTGCTGAGGATGATTGCTTCCAGCCTCATCCATGTCCTTGTAAAGGACATGATCTCATTCCTTTTTATAGCTGGATAGTATTCTGTGGTGTATATGTACCACATTTTCTTCATCCAGTCTACCTTTGATGGGCATTTGGGTTGGTTCCATGTCTTTGCCATTGTAAATAGTGCTGCAATAAACATACATGTGCATGTGTCTTTATAGTAGAATAATTTATATTCCTTTGGGTATATACCCAGCAATGGGATTGTTGGGTCAAACGGTATTTCTGGCTTTAGATCCTTGAGAAATCACCACATCATCTTCCACATGGTTGAACTAATTTACATTCCCACCAACAGTGTAGAAACATTCCTATTTCTCCACAGCCTCATCAGCATCAATTGTTTCTTGGCTTTTTAATAATCACCATTCTGACTTGCATGAGATGGTATCTCATTGTGGTTTTGATTTGCATTTCTCTAATTATCAGTGATGTTGAGATTTTTTTCATGTTTGTTGGCTGCATAAATGTCTTCTTTTGAGAAGTGTCTGTTCATATCTTTTGCCCACTTTTTGATGGGTTTGTTTTTTGCTTGTAAATTTGTTTAAATTCCTTGTAGATTCTGGATATTAGACTTTTGCCAAATCAGTAGATTGCAAAATGTTCTCTCATTATATAGGTTGCCTGTTACTCTGATGATAGTTTCTTATGCTGTGCAGAGCTGTTTAGTTTAATTAGATCCAATTTGTCAATATTGGCTTTTGTTGTAATTGCTATTGGTATTTTCATCATAAAGTCTTTGCTCATGCCTGTGACCTGAACGGTATTGCCTAGGTTTTCTTTTAGGGTTTTTATGGTTTTAGGTTTTACATTTAAGTCTTTAACACATCTTCAGTTAATTTTTGTATAAGGTGTAAGGAAGGGTCTCAGTTTCAGTTTTTGACATATGGCTAGCCAGTTTTCCCAGCACCATTTATTAAATAGGGAATCCTTTTCCCATTGCTTGTTTTTGTCAAGTTTGTCAAAGATCATATGGTTGTAAATGTGTAGTGTTATTTCTGAGGTCTCTGTTCTGTTTCATTGGTCTATATGTCTGTTTTGGGACCAGTACCATGCTGTTTTGGTTACTGTAGCCTTGTAGCATAGCTTGAAGTCAGGTAGCATGATGCCTCCAGCTTTGTTCTTATTGCTTGGGATTTTCTTGGCAATATGAGCTCTTTGTTGGTTCCATATGAAATTTAAAGTAGTGTTTTCTAATTCTGTAAAGAATGTCAATGATAGTTTGATGGGGATGGCATTGAATCTGTAAATTACCTTGGGCAGTATGGCCATTTTCACAATATTGATTCTTCCTATCCAGGAGTATGGAATGGTTTTCCATTTGTTTGTGTCCTTTCTTATTTGCTTGAGCAGTGGTTTGTAGATATCCTTGAAGAGGTCCTTCACATCCCTTATTAGCTGCATTCCTAGGTATTTTGTTCTCTTTGTATCATTTGTGAATGAGAGTTTGTTCATGATTTGGCTCTCTGCTTGTCTATTGTTTGTGTATAAGAATGCTTGTGATTTTTGCACATTGATTTTGTATCCTGAGACTTTGCAGAATTTGCTTAAGAGCTTAAGGAGTTTTTGGGCTGAGACGATGGGGTTTTCTAAATATAGAATCATGTCATCTGCAAAAAGAGACAATTTGGCCGGGTGTGGTGGCTCACGCCTGTAATCCCAGCACTTTGGGAGGCCGAGGTGGGCAGATCACAAGGTCAGGAGATCGAGACCATCCTGGCTAACATGGTGAAACCCTGCGTCTACTAAAAATACAAAAAAAATTAGCTGGATGTGTTGGCGGGCACCTGTAGTCCCAGCTACTTGGGAGGCTGAGGCAGGAGAATGGCGTGAACCCAGGAGGTAGAGCTTGCAGTGAGCCGAGATCACACCACTGCACTCCAGCCTGGACAACAGAGCGAGACTCCGCCTCAAAAAAAAAAAAAAAAAGAGACAATTTGACTTCCTCTCGTCCTATTTGAATACCCTTTATTTCTTTCTCTTGCCTGATTGCCCTGGACAGAACTTCTAATACTATGTTGAATAGGAGTGGTAAGACAGGATGTCCTTGTCTTGTGCCAGTTTTCACAGAGAGTGCTTCCAACTTTTGCCCATTCAGAGTGATACTGGCTATAGATTTGTCATTAATAACTCTTATTATTTTGTGATATGTTCCATCAATACCTAGTTTATTGAGAGTTTTTAACATAAAGGGATGTTGAATTTTATCAACAGCCTTTTCGACATCTATTAAGATAATGATGTGGTTTTTGTTATTGATTCTGTTTATATGATGGACTATGTTGATTGATTTGTATATGCTGAACCAGCCTTGCATCCCAGGGATGAAGCCGACTTGATCATGGTGGATAAGCTTTTTGATGTGCTACTGGATTTGGCTTGACAGTATTTTATTGAGGATTTTTGCATTGAAGTTCATCAGGGATGTTGGCCTGAATTTTTTTGTTGTTGTTGTTGTGTCTCTGCCAGGTTTTGGTATCAGGGTGATGCTAGATGAGTTAGGGAGGAGTCTCTCCTTTTCAATTGTTTGGAATAGTTCCAGAAAGAATGGTACCAGCTCCTCTTTGTACCTCTGGTAGAATTTGACTGTGAATCCGTCTAGTCCTGGGCTTTGTTGTTTTTGTTGTTGTTGTTGTTGGTAAGCTACTGATTACTGCCTCAATTTCAGAACTTGTTATTGGTCTCTTCAGGGATTAGACTTCTTCTTGGCTTAGTCTTGGGAGGGTGTATGTGTCAAGGAATTTATCCATTTCTTCTAGTTTTGTTTTCTCAAAAAATAAGATAGACAAACCTTGGCTCAACTAACTGATTAAAAAAGACAGAAAATTCTAATAGAATCAGAAATGAGGGAGAAGACATTACAACAGGTGCTTCAGAAATAAAAAAGATTATATGGGATGATTATGGATAATTATAATCCAACAAATTGGATAATCTAGAGGAAACAAATGCATTTTTAGAAACAAAAAACCTACCAATACTGAATTAAAAATAAATACTTTAATAGAATAATAACAAAGAGATTTAGGTAGTAATAAAAAAAATCTCCCAACAAAGAAAAGCCCAAGAACAGATAATTTCCTGATTAAATTCTAGCAAACATTCAAAGAATTAATACTAACTTTTTAAAAACTCATCTAAAAAACAAAATCAGAGGAAACATTTTCAAACTCATTTTATAAGCCTGCATCACCCTCATACCAAAGCCAAACAAAGATACAAGAAAGCAAGCTACAGGTCAACATGAACAGACATGCAAAACTCCTCAATAAAATAGCACCAAACCAAATTCAACATCACATCTAAAAGATTACACACCAAGCCCAAGTGGAAATTTTTCCAGGGAGGTAACACTGTTTTTTGTTTGTTTGTTTGTTTGTTTGTTTGTTTGTTTTATTGAGACGGAGTCTTGCTCTGTCGCCTAGGCTGGAGTGCAGTGGCCTGATTTCGGCTCACTGCAATCTCCCCCTCCCGGGTTCATGCCATTCTCCTGTCTCAGCCTCCCGAGTAGCTGGGACTACAGGCACCCGCCACCATGCCCGGATAATTTTTTGTATTTTTTTAGTAGAGTCCAGGTTTCACCGTGTTAGCCAGGATGGTCTCGATCTCCTGACCTCGTCATCCACCCGCCTCAGCCTCCCAAAGTGCTGGGATTACCAGTGTGAACCACCAGGTAAGACTGGTTTAATGTACACAAAGCAATCAACAGGATACACCACATTAACAGAATGAAGGGTGATGAAAGCACCTATTGAGATAAGCATACTTATCTCAATAGATGTAGAAAAAGCATCGAAAAAGTTAAACCATCGTTCATGATAAAAGCTTTCAATAAATAGAATAAAAGAAAATTTTCCTCACAAAATAATGGCCATTTATGAAAATTCCAAGCTAACATCATAATCAATGAAGAAATATAAATGCTATTCCCCTATGATATAAAAATAGGCAAAAAATACCCATTCTCACTTCTACATAACATGCTATTGAGAGTACCAGCAAGAGGAACTAGACAAGTAAAACAACAAAATCACATCTATATCAGAAAGGAAGAAGTATAATTATTCATGTTTGCAGGTGACATGATCCTATATGTAGAAAACCCTAAACTCCATAAAACATAGTGTTAAAAGTTACTCAGTAAAGTTGCAAGATACAAAATCAACATACAAAAATTAGTGGCATTTCTTTGCACCAATAACAATCTATGCAAAAAGAAATTTTTAAAATCTCATTTATGAAAGCATCAAATTAAAATCCTTAAACATGAGTTTAACCAAGTAAGTGCCAGATCTATATGATGAAAACTATAAAACATTGATGAAGGAAATCGAGAAAGACACAAATAAATGGAATGATATGTTGAGTTCATGAATTAGAAAAATAGGCATTGATAAAATGTCTGTACTACCCAAAATGGCATAAAGATTCAATTCAATCCCTATTAAAACTCCAATTTTCATTTTTTTACAGAAATAGAAAAAGCAATCTTAAAATTTGCATGAACTCAAAAGACCCTGAACAGCCAAAACAAGCTTGACAATGAAAAAAAAAAGAGGTGTCACACTTCCAGATTTTAAATTATATTTCAAAGCTATAGTAATCAAAGAAATATGATAGTAACATAAAACCAGACACAGAGACCAGTGGATCAGAATAGAGAGCCCAGAAATGAACCCAAACCTATACAGTTGACTAATTTTCAACAAGGCTACCAAGAAGATGCAATAGGAAAAGAATAATTTGTTCAAGAAATGATGTTGGGAATACTATATCCGCATGAAAAATAATGAAATTGGACCCTTACTTATACCATACACAAAAATCAACTCAAAATGAATTAAAGACCTAATTCCATCACTTTAAACCATAAAACTTATACAAAGAAACATTGGAGAAAAGGTGCCTCATATTAAAGACGGCAGTAATTTTTAGATATCACACCAAAAGCTCAGATGACAAGCACAAAAATTAAAAATAAACAAGTGGGACTACATCAAGCAAAAAAAGCTACTGCACCACAATCAACAACGTGAAAATGCAGCCTAAAGATTTGAAGACAATAAATTCACACCATATATTCTATAAGGGATTAATATCCAAAAAACATAAGAACGTCACACAACTCAATAACAGCAACAAAACCAAACAAGATTTAAAAATGGGCAAAAAATTTGAGTTGACATTTTTCTAAAGAAGACACACAAATAATGAACAGGTGTATGAAAAGGTGTTCAACATTACAAATCAGTAGGAAAATACAAATAGAAAAACACTATGAGATATCACTTCACACCCTTTTAAAATTTTTTTTATATATATATTTATTTATTTATTTATGAGACAGAGTCTCCCTTTGTTGCCCAGGCAGGAGTGCAGTGGCATGATCTCCGCTGACTGCAGGCTCCGCCTCCCGGGTTCACGCCATTCTCCTGCCTCAGCCACCCGAGTAGATTCTACAGGGGCCCGCCACCACGCCCGGGTACTTTTTTGTATTTTATAAACACTTCATGTTTATACCAAACTTAAACAACTTCAGTTTTAAGATGGTGTTTCACCGTGTTAGCCAGGATGGTCTCGATCTCCTGACCTCGTTATCCGCCCGCCTCGGCCTCCCAAAGTGCTGGGATTACAGGTGTGAGCCACTGCGCCCGGCCTTCACACCCTTTAGAATAGCTATTATCAAAGTGTCAAGAACTAAATGTTGGCAAGAATGTGATGAAAAGGAAACTCTTATACACAACTGGTGAAAATATAAATTGCAACAGCCATTATAAAAAATAATATAATAGAGTTTCCTCAAAAAAACTAAAAATAGAACTACCATATGACCCAGAAATCCTTCTGCTGGTTATGCACCCCAAAAAAATGAATCCTTACCTTGTAGAGATATCTGCCCGCCCACGTTAATTGCAGGATTATTCACAATAATCAAGATATGGGAAAACAGTGTGTGTCCATCAGTGGATGAATAAAGACATTTTAGTGTTCATATACCATACAATGCTATTCATTCTAAAAAAAAAAAAAAAGATACTACCATTTGCAACAACATGAATGAACCTGAAGAACAGTCTGCTAAGACATTTCATTTTCAGACATCAAAAGAAAAAGATTGTCTGATATCACTTATATGTGCAATATAAAAAACAGTAGTCTTCATTGGATCAGAGTGCAATGGTGGTTACCAGCATCATGGAAGTGGAAGAAATTGGGTGAAGCAGGTCACCCAATTTGCTATTATGATAAATGAATAAGTCTAAAGATCTAACGTATAGCATATAACTCTAATGTGCACTGGCTGGGCGCGGTGGCTCACTCCTATAATCCTAGCACTTTGGGAGACCAAGGCGGGAGGATCACGAGGTCAAGAGATAGAGACCATCCTGGCCGACATAGTGAAACGCCATCTCTCCTCTTGTAGAGATTGTAAAAATTTTGTAAAAATACAAAAATTAGCTGGGGGTGTTGGCACGCACCTGTAGTCCCAGCTACTTGGGAGGCTGAGGCAGGAGAATTACGTGAATCTGGGAAGCGGAGGTTGCAGTGAGCCAAGATCATGCCACTGCACTCCAGCCTGGCGACAGAGCAAGACTCTGTCTAAAAAAAAAAAACTAATGTGTACCTTAAAGACCAGAGTTAATATTATTGTATTGTATTTTTAAAAATCTGTTAACAGAGTAGATTTTAGGTACTCTTGTAACATAACAAAGGTAAGGATGGAAGGTGATGGACATGTTAATTTACATCCATAGTCATCATTTTATTGTGTATATGTATATCAAAACATTGTGTTGTACACCTTGAATATACAGAATAAAAATAAAAATAAATAAAATACAATTTTATATGAAGAAATAAGGAACATTCATCATAACCCACAAAGGCCAATTCCCCACATTGCTTCCCAACGCTACTTACACATATTATTAGGCTTGGTCATTACTGCCCTGAACAGGATAAATTAAAAAGACAATTTAGACAATAGAATCTTAAAATATATTCTTAGCACATACGGTTTACTCCCAAATATTAGATTTATGTAAAATTCACAACTAAATTTCACTCAATATGGGGGAAACCCAAATGCCCATTAAGAGGTATTAATAAATGAATAAACAAGTTGTGGTATATGCATACAATAAAATACTCTTTAGCAATAATAAGAAATTCATGGACAATCACTAAATACAGCAACATGGGTGAAAGTCAAAATAATTTTTCTAAGTGTAAGAAACCAGGACCTTTTGAGAATGTGCAAAATCTATATTTACATTTATATAAAATTTTGCAAATCCTAAGCTAATATATGGTCACAGAAATCAGATCTGTAAAAATAAAATTGTGCAAGTGAATTCTAAAATTTAAAATATCTATTTCTTCTGTTTTCACTTCATGTTTATATCAATACTTCAGTTTTAATTAAACATTGATAGACCTACCAGATTAAGTCAAGAAAAATGGATTTTTCTGTTATTTTTATGATACAATAATGACTAATAATTGCTCTCGCTCAAAATAAAATACAGAAAAATCATTACAAAAATAAAATAATTTTGAAAACTTTTTACTTGTCCAGAATATTTTATCCAGTAAGTAGTAACAAAACTTATTTAAATTTAATATGTAGTTTTTAAAATGGGGCAAAAATAAAATGAAGGTGGACGTTCAAAGGCTGTCTATTGCCCACCCAACCCTACACACAAGCACATCTTTCGAATTCCTTGCAAATTACTTAATTTAAATAATGTGTTTCCATAGTAAATAATTTATTTTCCCACTATTGACCATGCTGTAAGGGAGAAGTTAAACTTTTAAATCATTTGGAATAACTGGTCTTAAGTTTATAACAAAGACAAATAGAACATGCAGAGTAGAATAGGATAGTACAATAATAGAAAGTACAGAAATTTGAAGCTGTCCATGTAGTAACTGAATGGGCAAATTTAAAAAATCATCTCTCATGATCCTTACCTGTTGGTATTTTATCTTTATATTATTCTCCTCACTTTGTATTTGGACTATACTTGGCCACTTATAGCCCCATTATATTGAGGATATAGTGCTTTCATGTTCAGGATACAAAAGATTGTGGTATTCCTAATACTTCAACTCACTTTCAATTTTATTGGCATTCTACCTTGCACTCTTCCATTCATGAAGCTGTCTGTCATGTTTTCAGACAGTCTTCAGATAGGACTACGTGGCAAGAAACTAAAAGAGACATTCAGCCACAGCTCCTGAGGAACTGAGGCCTTAATTCAAGAAAAACTGAATTTTGCAACAATCACATGAGTGATCTTGGGAGTAGATCTTCCCCAGTGAAGACTGCAGATAAAACTGCAGCCCTGGCCAACACTTTTACTGCAAACTTGTGAAAGATCCCTGAGTCATAGGTACCCAACTATGCTGTGTTCAGTTTCTGACCCACAGAAATTATGAGATAAATATTTATTGTTTCAAGCTGCTGATTTGAGGATACTCTGTATTTGTTGTGCATTAATAAATAACAATTACAGTAAGGAATTAGGTAGCACATTAAAGATACCTTATAATGCATTATCTCCCAATTTTATTTGAGGTTATATAACCAAACTTAGGTTTGGCTGCGGGCTGCTGGAAAAGCCAGACACAAGAAGTTATATTTTCTACTTTTCATTTTACCTGGGAATAGTTGCACTTTTAAAGATAAATTATCACCTTAAAGTCAAAGGTAACTAAACCTGTTCTTAAATGTCTATTCATTTTTGTGTAAAATTTGTAGCATCAGAATTGTGCACGCATGTATGTGTGTGTTTGTGTGTCTGTGTGCATGCACACATTTAGCATTAGTGTTTTAAATTTTGCATTTCAATTTTTGGGATGACATCTGTAACTGGTAACAAAAATATCATCTGTTTTTAAATATTTAAGACAGAAGTTAAACATCATTATTTCCACAAATGATTCAAGTTGTGAATACTCTTGCTGGTGTGGCCTTGGTGTTTATCAATTAATCCAAAATATATATTAATACAAAAGTAAGATAATTTAAGATACTCAAATTAGATGTTCGATTGTTTTGATTGCTATTCACATCTGTTGCAGAGCTTTATCAATTTCTGAGCTTACATGCAAGAATTTTACCTTCTAATATGGAAGATAAGGTCAAGCATTCACATGCACACACACGTACATAGAAACAAACACAGGGTCACAAACACAATTATAAAGTACTTGAGATTAGCCATACCAATGGCTGGAGGTAAGGAGTTGTAAGTCCTAGCGGAGGTAAATTGCCTAGAAACCTTAAAGTAATAATAAAATTGACTAATAGTCTGCTTTTTTTCTTATCTTGATGTGCAGGCAAGCCTAAAAAAGGCCAATTATGTACTATTCTTCCCTGAAATATAATCTTTTTGTGTTCTAAATTTTATACCTCATGGTTGTAAAAGACTTTTATTAATCTATGTTTTTGTATTAATAAATATACATGTTTAACATAAGAATGTTTTATTAGTTACCTATTAAGAAACTGTGGTTTTTATGGATGTTAATTAGAATAACTGACAGTTAATCAAAATAACTCAAAATGTGGGCTTAGGGACACTAACCTTTAATGAATAGAGTATTTTTGTAATTGGGAGCTAATACCAGATACACTTTGTGTCTACTCCTGTGCTAGCTCCCATTTATCATTTAAATAGTAGATTCAAAAATCAATAAAGACAGCACAATGGCTGCAATGGTTGTAAAGATGAAGGAATAGAATCTGAGTTATTTCAATCCACTCATTCTTTATAACTATTTAGAGATTTTATTTGGTTTCAAATTTTAAAAATTAAAACATAATGTAGACCGCAAGATGTAATATCTTTCTTAAGGGGAAAATTTTGAATTATACATACAATATTTTACAGAACCTGAATAATACATTTTAATTGAAATTTATCATTTTAAAATCATTAATTGTTTAAAACTAAAAAAATCAAGAAACTACTATTACTGAACTATTATATAATTATTATTTAAAATGCTTTTATTCAATAACAAAGGGTTTTTAAAAAATTACCCTCTCCTGGTGCCAAATATCTTGTTACATCACTGGAAGACAATATAATCATTTGCAATGCATACAAGAGTGTGTAGGAAATAGTTATAACCCCACATGGACCAACTGTACATGGCATATTTGGTTTAATATTTATTGATTACTAATAACTTTCTGAACAGGAATGACCAGGAACTATGCAGCGACAGGTGAGCAAAATGGGGATGCTGTTCTTGCCTTACTTAAATCTTGGCATGTATTTTCAACCATGCTATATTTGCCTGCAAAATCTTTGGTCCCTTACATGCATTTTCCAGCTTTGCTGAGGGTCAAAACTACGTCACAATGAGGGTAGCAGATAATCAGCGTCTAAAGATACTACTATAGCATGACTTGCTAAAACAAATGTGAAAATGCAAGTCCAAGATTGTTTACTGACAACTAGAAATATGCCAAAAATTTTTTCAAGAACACTAAATATGAGTGTTAATTTTATTTGAATAGGGAAATTGCATTAACTGTTTTACATCACAAGTGCATGGCTCAGACTAACTGAGGCAATAATCTCCTGTTACCCAAGTGACTCATTAAAATTAATAGTTTGTTCAAAATGTGCCTTTTTTTTCCCCTTCTCACTTTTTGAAGGTTCCTTGGAAGTTTGGTTCTGTAATTGTCTAATTTTTATTAAATTACGCCAGAAAAAAAGTGGCCATTTCATTGAGGGCAGTGGGAGCTATAATTGGGCACTGCTTGAATGGCTGGATGTGACTTTTAAAACAGTGACCAAGGAGAAATCTCTCTTTCATACACAGGTATATAAACATATCATAAATATCTTGAAATTATATTATTCTCTTCCTAAACACATCCACTGAATCTTACACCCAAAGAAAAAGGAATGGTTTACCTCCTTTTAATGAGGCACTTACTATCAAAATCTATAGTATTTACTACTGAAAATTTCAGCTTACTCTTCCATATTTATATGACTGATTAAAATTGAGCAATCACATAACATAACTGCCACATCAGATTATTGAGTGAAATGTTCACAACCACCTTAACTGAAATGATTCTTAACAAGAAAATTCTTTAGGAGTTGTCATAATCCAATCAACAACTTTTTTAAAATTTAAGGAAAGTGGTAGTTACTAGATTATTACACAGAAAAACTGGTTCCACAAAATTTATCCCAAACTCATGTTTTCAGAAATAAAACTGAACAAATATATTAACCCAAGATAAAGAAATAATAAACTGTTGGGATAAGGATTTTAAGCAAAATAATCCAAACTATCAACTTCAGTACTTCACTCCTGTTACACCATCTTATATCTGTATACACCCATGTAAACAACTGATCCCATTTAAAACTGAGTATCAATCAGAAAGAAACATGAGTGGGACTTAAACATAAATGTTAAGAGGAAAAAGAGAATGGAATAAAAACAAATAACTACATGAAAAACATACATCCCAAGAGGAAGTATTTTAAAACATGGTGGTTTTCAGAAAAAAAAAATTAAAAAGCATTTCTCTCTGTTCTCAAAATATCAAAAAGTACATAACCACTTAAAAACACCTGAAGGAAGAACAACAAGGATTCTAATACATATTATAAAACACAGGAAGATGGGCCAGGCGTGGTGGCTCACGCTTATAATCCCAGCACTTTAGGAAGCCGAAGTGGGTGGATCACCTGAGGTCAGGAGTTCAAGACCAGCCTGGCCAACATGGTGAAACTCCGTCTCTACTAAAACTATAAAAAACTAGCTGGGCGTTGTGGCAGACACCTGTAATCCCAGCTACTTGGGAGGCTGAGGCAGGGGAATCACTTGAACCTGGGAGGCAGAGGTTGCAGTGAGCCGAGATTGCGCCACTGCACTCCAGCCTAGGCAACAAGGCCAGACTCCGTCTCAAAAAGAAACAAACAAACAAAACAGAGGAAGATGAAATGAAAGTGGTGGATGAACTCAGATATAAAATTGAAGGGAAATAAATGTCTGCCTTCTTATGCACACATAGTTTAAATATAAATCTATTTTTATGTTTAGTTCTAATTTTCCAGCTTAAGAAGTGTTAGAAAAAAAAGGAGAGAGAAGAGGTAGGAAGAATTTACTGAAAGATGGCAATAGGACGATGGAACTAGAATTTATTAAGATAAAGATTGCATCATATACATCCTTGATTTGTTTTAATTTTCTATTTCTATCCTAACCAATGCAAATCTCCTTCTGAAACATAAACTTTTTCAGAACATGGGATGATAACTTATAGTAAGATCGCAATAAAACTATGATGATGAGGAGTAGATAATACCACATAGTGTACCTAAGATTGTGGTGAGTAATAGAAGACACACCAGAGAAAAAGAGTAATCCTGAATCCATAATATTTAAAGAAGTCAAATAATGTATTGAACAACTTAAATCATATATTCAATGAAATTATTTAGTGCCGATAGCAAGTCTTTATTCCTTGTTGAATTGAAATCACCATAGGGAAAAATTGTGGATATTCACATGTATTCTACATAAAGCTATAAAAGGGCCATAATAAAAGATCACTATGTTAATCTTGTAAAAAGGGGTTATATTTATAGTTAGCAATAGCACACACAGCTGATTGACAAGAAATGCAGATGCAGTGAAGTTGCAAGCTGAAACCGTATTAAACTTCTAACATGGCTTTATCTGACAACCATTATTACCACCTAATCAAGGACTATATAAATGTAGAACCGTACAGTATTTACAAAAAAATATATAAATCCATAGAGTACTGAAGTCAGAAAACTCTGGCTGTGTGCCAGGCTTAGCCACACAATTGCCCTGAGAATTTTAGCAAATCGTTTCACTTCTTGGACATCATATTTCCATAAGTCAATTGATAGTTCTAATGATGAATATTTTAATGCTTATGAAAATGCTTTGTAAACTGCCTGCTGTATACTATATTTTACAAATTCTAAGCAGCACCTTAATTTTCATATATTTAGTATATCTGAAATTGAGTCGCCTTATATAAGTGCTAGTTTGTCATTGAAATTGACAGCTATTTTTCTTTGTTAATGTACTTTAAAAATAGTACATCTTACAATTTATGGTGTTACAAGAACATCCATTCATTTAGGGATACAAACTAATAGAATTCATGCCATCTTCAAAATGTGTTTTTTTACTTCTGGGGAATTTCTTGACTCTCTGCCTATCTATCTCTGATAACACCATGGTTTGTGTGATGGGTAAGTCCTTACACCCTAGTGAGTGTGAAATATAGACTCCCCACTTAGCCTTTGTTGGTGTAGGTGAGGGTGGAGCATGTTTTACTCTGGTGCTTGCCTGGATTGGAGCCATTATTTTCTCAAAGTTTCTATATTGTGATGCTGCTTCCTTCCTACTCCTTCAATGGGGCCTTTTCTGTCTGTGCCCATTGCGATTTCTAGGTTGCTTGTTTCTTCAGTTCCAGTTCTGTAAAATATGAATCAAAAAGAATACCCAGGTAACTCACCACTTTGCCCCTCCTTGGGTATTGACATCCCCAGAAAGTCCAACTTCTCTTCATCTTTCAGAGTCTTCTTAAGTTTTGTAAATAATATTCAGCACTGTTTGTTATATTTACTAAGAGAAATAGGGAACAGTATGTGCCTTCCTGAAAGTGCTTTATAGGCAGTTTTTAAGAACAAACGCTTTGAAATAATCATGGTAATCATGGGTTCAGATTTTAGTTCTGCCACACAGAAACTTTTGATCATTATACAAGCCTTATTTCATTTTTTTCTAAGAATTCTTAACTTTAAAATAGAGACAATTGTATTAACTATTTCACTGAGCTGTTATAAAGAGGAAATATAAAGACTTTTAAAATATGGATGGCTATATATTTAGCATTCAATAAATTTTAGCTACTATAAAAATGCTACAATTTCTGTATATTTAAATTTTTATTTTAAAAATTCTAATTTTAATCATGGTTATAAACAAAAGAGCTCATTAGATAGACCATTTTTAATTGAATATTCCGTAGGTCCAGGACTTGGTTTCCAAGAAGCCCCTGTACATGGCCAAATTTCATCTCTTCAGCTACCTCTGGATAACATGTATACCGTGCTGTCATACTCCTGTTGCTGTTAGTGCTACCAGGGTTATTAATTTCCTCTCATCAATAATTACAATAGAAACTGTAAATCGTGTTACTCTGTAGATCTGGAACTTTTTTTCCCCTAGCTTTGTTTAAATTGCCATTCTGTCTCTAGCTGTTGGTGTAAGATCCATATTTTACCCATTTTCTAAGCTAAGCAAATACTACTCTCAGTGAGGGAACAATCCCTATGTCCAAAAATACATGGAAGTACACTTGTGTCTTTCTCAAGAAAAAAGAAAATAACTTGTATTTCTTTTCACTAATACACACACACACATACACACATACACAGACACACACATATATACTAGTTTATTCTGAAGAGAACCTTTATGCTAGAATTAAAATTTTTAGTTTTTGGATACTAACATTTGACATGCACCTGCATTGTTTTATTTTAATGAAGCAGACATTTCTTGGGGTTGTCAACCTAGAAAATTTAATGATTCAGAAAATCAGGTACAACCTGGTTGTCAAAAAATCATAAACATCGTATCACTATTTTCAAATTGTATGTTTCTTGCCTCTGCTTAAGATCTTAACAAGCTCAAAATACTTTAGTATTCAACATATCCTTCCCAATTTCATTTTAAAAATTGCCTTAGTTCAAAAGAAGCTTTTATTCTCAAAGCTACTGTTCAATAATGCTAGTTTTCTTTCATTATGTCTTAGAGACAAATTGTTCAGTAGGCAATTATCTATTTGTTTTTCAGACCAGTAGGAGGCATCATTACGTTGCACTGAATGAAACCTTAGCTATATGCAAGGAAGTATTGAATCCTAGCATTACTAACATGAAGCCACAGTGATTGGTTCAAATTCCCTCCCTGGAGCTCAATACCAGAAGCTTAGTAGGTGACACAAGTATTTTATATGCAAAAACCCAAAGGGTTTTGTTCACTGTAGTTAAATTTTGTAAACACATGGCAACATCACAAGTTATAATGCTATACCAGCCTTAGGTTTAACATTGTGATTGTGTGCTAGCTTTTTTCTAGTTCTTTTTGTCCTAAAAGAATTCATTTATAATCAGTCAATCACTTAAATGTTTGAAACTATTTTGAAATCAAAATGGTGATGCTGCAGAAAATAAGAAATAGTGACCTTACCTATTCATTTTTAAAATGACATCTACATATTAGCTACTTTAATAAAATACAAATAATCACTTTGTTTTTATATCACCAGCATTAGAATTAGGAATATATTAAAACTACAGTCTAAAATATCAATTATGAAGAGGAACCTAATTTTAAGTAATAATAAAGTTCTCTAATAAAGATGCCTTTAAAAGAAAATGTTACATTAAGTATTTTTTTGTAAAAAAAATTTAAGTATGAGTTAACACCAACAATCACATGCTGAAATAAACTGCACATATATATTTTTCTCATTACTTATTCAATTTATGGTTACTGATGATTCACTTAAATAATTATAAGGCACACTTTAAAATTAATGTACTATTTAATGTGCTTAAATATGACTGCATCGAAAATATTTTATTAACATCTTCAATGCAGAAAGTTTGGACTGTATGAGCATGTGACCCTGCAGAAGACAATTTTCAGATTATTTGGAGTGTGAAATCATTAAAAAATGTAAACACTTTGTCAACTTTTAAATTGATTATGTGAACCAAAAGTATATTGTTTCATTACATAAAATACTTACGTTAAATAAAAATATCTTGCTTTGGTATTTTTATTTCATTTTTGAAACAAATAATCTTTATATTACTGATTGTCAGACTATATTTCAATAAACATTTTTGACTTATATGATTACTGTCTAAGTCAATATACAACTATGCCATTGAACAAAAAGTCACATACTGTACATTCTTACTTACAGGTGGGAGCTAAACATTGAGCACACATGGTAATAAATATGGGAACAACAGGCACTATGGACTATTAGAGAGTGTGGGGAGTAAAAAAAAATTGCCTACTGGGTACTATGCTCACTCCCTGGGTAATGGGATTACATGGGAATATTCATATAATATTCCCATGTAACAAATCTGCACATGTAACCCTTGTATCTAAAATAAAAGTTGAAATTAAAAATAATTCCCTACCATTGGTAACAGACGTAAATTTACATATTGCAGAAGCAGAACATTCTTGAGGTCAAAGATTATAAATACAAAGCAATGTCTAGTGCATCAAAGTCAAACTTCTAAAATCCAAATTTAAAAAAAAAATTGAAAACAATCGGAAAGTAAGTAATGTTACATACAGGGACATAATGACTCAAGTAGCTGTTTACTTCTCATCATAAATTGGAAGAAATCAGTGAACCAGTATCTTTAATGTAGTGATCCAAAAAACTCCTAACCAAAAATATTATATTCAATATCTTGGCAATATCTTGCAAGAATGAAGGGTAAATCCCTTTTAATATAAAATAAACAAAATGTATCACCATCTAATGGAAACTCCTTCAGTTGAGAGAAAATTACACTGGGAAAAACAAACAAAATCTATGACCCTATGAAGGAATTAGGAGCATTTAAAAAGATACTCGTATGTACAAATGGAAAAAAATATCTTGCCATCTTAATTTATTTAGTATACACATGACTACAAATAGACACAATAGTTTCTTATCAAGTGTATGACATGTAAATGTTATATATATGGTAATGTAATATGTAAGTAGATAATTGAAATTACCTATATTTTATGTAAAGTGGTAAAATATTAATGATAAGTAGTTTTCATTAATATAAAAGAAAAATGACATTTTAATCCATAGAGTAGCTAATATTAAAAATAATTTGTTATTGGTAAACATAAATGACAAATAGTAATTAAATTCCAAAAATTTGCATGTCAACCAAAAGAAGACAAGAAAGAAGGAAGACGAGAATAAAAAATTGAGGAGTAAAATAGAAAAGACATAAGAGATGGTAAACCGAAATCTAACCATATGAATCTTTCAATTAAATGTTAATACAGTAAACAATTCAAATAAATGGCAAAATAGTTCCAAAATAGAGATAGCTTAGATGACTCTAAATAGGATAATGGATGAACGAACTTTGGTACATCGATGTAATGCAATACTAATTGACAATATAAAGATGTAATCTACTGATATATTAGGCAATCTGAACACATGATGCTGAGAGAAAGAACGCTTAGAAAAAACAATATAAACGGTGTAATGCCACATTGAGAAAATCACAGAAGCTCCACTCTGGTCACCTTCAAGTCACTATCTACACAGAAATAAACATTTTTCTAACATTTAACAGCCTTAATCTGTTTTGTCTGTACTAAAACTTCTTATGATTAGCATCGTACAATACATACTCCTCTGGTCTGATTCACTTAAAATTTTTTGCCTGTGACAACCATTAATACTGTTGCTGAGTTACTATTCACTTGTTTTCATTGCTGTATTCACTTGTTTTCATTACTCACTTCATGAGTAAACTTAACACATTTATTAATTTTCCTGTTAATAGGCATTTGGCAAGTTTACAATTTGAACTGTTATAAACAATGCTAATACAAACATTTACAATAAATGTTTGTCCATGTATTTTAAACATATGTAAGCATTATAGTGGGATATATACCTAGGAGTGAAATTGTGTGTCATGGGATTTGTATGTGTTCACTTCTTAACTTACTGGCAGTTTTATGATGCAACTTTATCCATTAAAAATTTTGTCTACAACATCAACGCTTTTTGAGGTGCTGCACATTGTTGCCCAAACTTGATATTTAGTACTTTCTTTACTTTAGACACTCTATTTTACAGGTAGTTGTATTGTATTGTAGCTTAATTTTGCATATTCCTGTTAATTAATGAATGTGAGAACTTATTTTATGTTGATATCTGGTTAATCCAATATCATTTATTACAAAGATCATAGTTTTCACTGTAATGATCATTTTACCATAAGTCATGTGACTGAATATATGTGGGTTCATTTATAAGTTGTCTATTATTTTTCTGTCCCTACATCAATCATATATTGTTCAATGTTAAAACAGCTTTAAATTGTTTTTTTCACAGATTATTTTTTATGAAAATTTAGAAATAACTTGTATATTTACATACATAGATATTCACACACTGATATGGTTTTGCTGTGTCCCCACCCAAATCTCATCTTGAATTGTAATTCCTATAATCCCCATGTGTCATGGGAGGGACTCAGTGAGGGGTAATTTAATCATGGGGGCAGTTACCCTCATGCTGTTCTTGTGATAGTGAGTGAGTTCTCACGAGGTCTGGTGGTTTTATGAGGGACTTTTCCCCCTTTTGCTCAGCACTTCTCCTTGCTGCAGCCATGTGAAGAAGGACATGTTTGCTTCCCCTTCTGCCATAATTGTTAAGTTTCCTGAGGCCTCCCCAGGCATGCAGAACCGTGAGATTTCTTCTATTTATTTCAATATGCGTGATGGTTTGAATGCTAATATAAATAACATTATTTTTAAATGTTTATTTTTCTCTAGAATAATATTGACAGGTATCCTTCTTTAATTTTAATTTAATTTTCCAATGTTAAACAAAGTCTATAATAAAACTTATTTGATCAGGATTTGTTATATTTATATGTAAGTGGAACAAATTTTTTACATTTCATGAGGATAGGTTTTTTCATCTGTATTCATAAAAATATTGTGTTGTACTTTATAACTTTTACAGTCTTTGTCATATATTTATTTTGTTATACTGAATCTATCTCACTTTATAAATTAAAAATTGTAACACAAAGATAATATATTATCAGTAGGCAAAAACTTGAGCTGACACTTTATAAAAATAAAGTTATATAAAAATTGACATGCAAAAGCACATGAAAAACAGATGAGCATCATTTTCATGATAGAATTGGAAATTAAACTGCAATAATATAGAACTTCATACTTACTGTGTCCAGATTGGTAAGTGACCACACAGAAAAATTTCAATTTACCCTCTCTCTTGGGCTTTAGAATCTTATTTGGTATTCTTCCATGTTCAATTCTAGTGGCTTTGAACATACCACTTTGTTTTTCTACGGCTTTGGCTTAATTCTTTAACTTCCAGTACTACTCAATTTTCATAATTCCTTAAAGGACCTGAAGGAAAAACCTTGATACTAAGCCAGTGCCAAGAATGGGGTTATGACTTCCAGGTCAAATGTAGATTCTCAGCCCTTCTCTGAAAGCTTCTTGCCTCTTTGAAATTTATCTCCTCTTAAACACTGTTGTATCAGAAGTTTCATAGGAAAGTTGAAAAAAATCCAAGTGGTTTATTCTGTATCTAACAGTGAGTCCTGCAATGACGGTGAGATAACGATTTTAAGAGATTATATTTTGACCTTCATGAAGCTTTCCTACTTTGAAAGACAAACATGTAACCAAGTCAACTATAAGACAAATGTTTCATAAAAATAAAAGTGCATAGTCTGCCCTGGAAAGCATTTTCCTACTTTTAGTATGAGTATATTTAGCCATTTTGTTAACCTCACTGTGCTTCATCCATCACACATATTTCATTTTTTCTCTCAGGAAAAATTTGAGAGATAAGAATTTTAATGTCGAATAGATTTTTGGAATTGGAATAGAGATTTTTAAAGAATTGACTGTTAATGTTAATGACAGTTCAAAAATTAACACCAGACAGGAACATTAAAATAGTTTTGTATATATGAGTATTTTGTACAGAAAATTTAATTATATCATGGTTAAATCCCATATAAGAGAAACTACTTCCTTTCTTTTATCTTCAGGTATTTCTGTGAAAGAAACAAATGGCATAATCCAGTTATTAGCAGCTGGCACAACAGGTAAAGAATATCACCAATGACCAAGAGAATAAGAAGGAAATAAAACCAAAAACACAAACTATTAAATGTTGGAATTAGTCAAAAGTTATGAAAATATTGATGAATAATATGAGAAAAACAAAAAATATATGGACAACATAGTTGGAAGAAACAAAAATAATGGACATAACTCAAATCCATACTGTTATGGTTTGAATATGGTTTGTTGCTTCTGAAATGCATGCTGAAATTTGACTACCATTGTGCAGTGTGTGAGGTGGGACCTAATGGAAAGAGTTGGGTCATGGGGTTATGTTCTTTATGAATAGATTTATGCTATCTTGTATGAGTGAATCTCTCTCTCACAGAACTGGATTAGTTACCACAGAGCAGGTGGTTATAAAAAGAGGTTCCTCCTGGTGTTTGCTCTCTTTGCGTGTGCCCTCTTCCCCTTCCACTTCTTCCCATGTTATGATGATGCAGCATGAGAGCCTCACCAGAAAGTGACTAGAATGGGACTCCCTGATCTTTCATTTCCAAGACTCCAGAGCCGTCAGCAAAACCAATCCTTTATTCTCTATAAAATACCCAGTCTCAGGCAATCTGCTACAATAACAGAAAACTAAGACACAAACAAATAGAATCAAATGGAAATTATTGAACTAAAAAAATACACAGTAACTAAAAGTGGTCTTTATTATACAATAAAAAGCCAGTCAGATAAGCAGAAATTCTACTTATCTTTTAAACAACTGGATCTCATGAGAACTCACTCACTATCCACAAGAACAGCAAGGGGGAGATTCTCCCCCATGATCCAGTCACCTCCCACCAGGTCCCTCCTCCTACACTGAGAATTACAAAGTAAAAAAAAAAAAAAAAAAGGAAAAAGTTATAATCACCTCAGTAGTTGTAAAGTAGTATCTCATGATTTTGATTACCATTATTCTAATGACTAATGGGGTTGAATAGCTAAAAAGCTACTCATAAAAATGTGCTGATTGACCATTTGTATATATTCTCTGAAGATGTGTGAAGTCCTTTGCTATTTTTTAAATTGGATTGTTTTGTTCTGCTGTTGATTTTAAAACAACTGTTATAAATATTCTCAAAGTGCTAAAACAAAAACTGAAAAAAGAATTCAAGAAAATCAGGAAAATGATGTATGAACAAAATGAGACTATCAATAGAGATCAACATTTTTTAAAAGGAATACAAATATTCTGAATCCAAAGGTACAATGACTAAAAAAAAACTTCTTTAGCAATTCAGCAGCAGATCTGAGCAGGCAGAAAACAGCATGAGTGAACCTGAATATATGAAAATTGAAACTATCTGTTATTAGAAGAAAAAGAGGTAACAGAGCATAAAGGACTTGTGGAACACCAGGAATCAGACTAATCAGACTAGGCACTGTGAAAGTTCCAAAGAGAGAAGAGAGACAGAAAGGGGCAGAAAGAATATTTGAAGAAAAATGGCCAAAATCTTCATTCTTTGTCGTGTGGAAATCTACTTGTCTCAGCATCATTTGTTGAAGAGACTGTTCTTTCCTCATTAAATGGACTTGGAACCCTTGAAAAAAATCAGTTGACTACATATTTATAGGTATATTTCTTCTATACTCTAAATTCTATTACGTTGGTCTCTATGTCTGTGTCGGTGAAACGGGAAAGGTTCCCTTGTTCCCTCACAGGGCATGCAATGGTGATGTGGATCGCTTCTTCAGTGCCCCACTGCTCAAACCTCTAGAGGAGCACACAGACGGGCAGGCTGTGGGGCTCCAACCCCACGGGCAGTGTTTAGGGGTGAATGTTTATAGCTGAAGCCCCATTGGGCGTGTGTTACAAGTTGCTCTTTTAGTTTGCCTTCTATAGGCGGCTTGTGTTAATCAGCCCAATTAGACCCTTTACCTTGTCTCAAGGAGAGAGAGGGCTTTCTGTATCCTGGGTTCTTGCCTTGGTGTACTGGAAGAATGGGGTTATACATGGGTTTGGAAATGAGTGTAAAGTTTTATTGAGCGGAAGTAGCTCTCAGCTGATGAAGGAGCCAGAAGGGAGATGGTCTTCCCCTAGAGTTGGGCCACTCAACAGCCCCGGCTCTCCTACAACTAACCCGGCCAAACTCCACATCTAGCCTCCAGTCGATGACCTGCTGGCGTGCCGGCATCTGTCAGTGTGCCCTTCTGCTGGCGTGCTCCCCTTGACGTCTTCTTGCCGTCCAGCCCTTGTGTCTTCTTCTGCCAATCCGCTCCTCTTCACATCCATCCGCTTCTGTCTCTGCCTTGCTAGGGTCTTGGATGTCTACAGGCCCAGGATGGGAGCGTGGCAGGCCAGGGTGGTCTTGGAAAATGCAACATTTGGACTCGAAAGCAGGTGTTCCAGTCCTCACCTAGGTCCATGGGGGTGGAGCCCTAGCCAGGGACCCCCTTTCTCTACCCAGCACTTCCCGCCCTGCTCCCATATCATCAGCACCACATTATTTTGATTACTGTAGCTTTGTAATAAGGTTTAAAATTAGGGAGTGGCCAAGTGTGGTGGCCTACACCTGTTTTCCCAGCTGCTCACTACTCAGGAGGCTGAGGCACAAGAATTGCTTGAACCCGGGAGGCGGAGGCTGTAGTGAGCCGAGATAGTGCCACTACACTCCAGCCTGGGTGACAGAGCGAGACTCTGTCATAAATAAATAAATAAATAATATAATAAAATTAGGGAGTGTGACTCCTCCAACTCAGTTATTTTTCAATACTGTTAGGGTTATTCTGGGTCCCTTGTAGTTCCATTATGAATTTGAAGATAGTTTTTTATATATCTGCAAAAACAGCTGTTGGAATTTTGATGGCAATTGTCCTGAATCTGTTTATTCTTTTAGGTAGTGTTGCCCTCAAAACATACTTGGATAGATGATAGATAGATAGATAGATAGATAGATAGATAGATAGATAGTCTTATTACTTGTAGTAATGTTATGTATAATTGCTGCAAACACTGAATTAGCAATATTGGACAATTTCTCCTTGAAGAAAATAGGGTTAGGTTCCAGTGAGCATCAACCCAAAACATTTTTGTCAGCCAATCAACACATAACTGGTTTTATGTGTGTTTCTATTTTAAAATACATCACTTAATATACATTGTTAATTCAATAACATTGAACTCATAGCCAGCAGTACTATAACCCGTGCCTAAACAAAGCTTATTTAATATACGTATTTTCTCTGCCTTCTTGTGTGTGTGAACAGCAGACAGCACTCAGTCATATGTTTAGAGGGCGTTTTAAGCAATAAGGTCAACAAAAATAGCACAAAAATGCAAAAAAAAAATGGGACTAAATAGACTACAAAAAGAGTACACGTTTATAGTATTAGAACTGAAACGAGAAGAAAGAACACCACTTTATTCTACTTCAGCTCAGAAAATGTGAGCTGAGTGATTCAAATTTTTCACTGCTCTGCATATGTCAATACTGACTGCAATAAGGCCATAAGTAGTATTGACTTTGAAGGTAGAAATACATTCAATCTATAGGGGAGTTGTGAAATATGGAATCTATGAATAGTGAGAATCAACTGTTTAGGAACAAATAGATAAATACACATACACACATATATTTCTATATGTATTTACATGTAAATATACAGCTTTTTTGTGCATACAATTATACACACATGAATGAACATATGGAGTTTTATTAGGAGGTTTTAAACATGAGTTACTTGGGACAGAGAAGTGTGAGGGGAGAAGAAATACAACCAGAAATGAAGAAAAGAAAATAGTGTACATCAAAAAGAGCTAGTGGCATGTATGTATGATTTTATAACATAAACAATGATTATTTATTAAAACTCTATAATAATTAGATTATTTAAAGTTTGATATTCTTGATTAAAGTCTTTCAAGTTTTTGTGTTTTTAAGTGCTTTAATTTATAAAGCAAATATTTACACATGTAGAGAAAAATAAATGAGCAAACGTTTTCATAGTTGCATTTTTTCTGGAGGAATAGAATAAAGAGTGACAAACATCTGGGAGTCATTGTTAATAAGAAATAAATACTAGTCATAACAATGCATATATGAGGACTCCATTTACAAAAATGAGATATGTATATATATTCATATATATATAGTTACAATGAATAGAATGCACATTATATGGATATCAAGGTTTTACTTCAATGCATGAAAGGAGTGAGGTGAATTTGAAAAAATATTGCCATAGTTTACTCCATATGTTATTTGAATAATTAACATTGAAAATGTATTTTTTATTTAATAGTTGTCAACAGTTTTGCTTACAGATAAAATCGTTTATATATTTTTTAGATGAATGATGGTGGGTGGATATCAACTTTTCTTAATACAATTTTTAAAATTCCAATTGATACATAATTATACATATTTATAAAACACATGATATTTCATTACATGTATACAATATGTAGTGATCAAATTTAGGTTATTGGTATATGTATTATCTTCATCATCTTAAATGTTCATAATTTGTGTTGGGAACATTCAAATTCCTCTCTGCTAGCTATTTTGAAGTATATAATAAATTGTTATTAGCTCTAGTCAACTGTACTATGCTATAGAACGCTAGAAAGTTATTTTGTTATCTAACTGTAATTGTGTACCCATTAAACAACCTCTTCCTATCTCCCCTTCCCACCTCATCCTTCCCTTCCTCTGGTAACCACTATTCTAATATCTACTTTTATGACATCAACTTTTTAGCTGCCACATATGAGTGAGAACATGGAGTATTTGTCTTTCCGTACCTGGCTTATATCACTAAATACAATGTCCTCCACAAATGGCAAGATTTCATTCAATTATCTCTTCAATGTATTCATTGTCTTTCCTTTGGATATATATTCAGTAGTGAGATTATTGGGTCACATGATATTTCTATTTTTAGTTTTCTGAAGAACAGTCATATGTTTTTCCATAATGGCTATAATAATTTACATTTTCACCAACAGTGTATAAGAGTTTACTTTTTCTGCATGCTCGCTAATACTTACCTTTTATTCTTTAGGTAATAGCCATTCTAAGAGATGTGAGGTGATATCTCATTGTGGTTTTGATTTGCATTTCCCGATGGTTAGTGATGTTTAGCATTTTTTAATATACCTGTTGGCCATTTGTATGTCTTCTTTGAAGAAATTCCTCTTCACGTCCTTTGCACACTTTTTAATGAAATTTTTAAAAACTATTGAATTCTTTTAGCTCTTTATATATCCTGAATGTTAATTCTTTGTTGGATGGATACACTGCAATTATATTCTCCAATTCTATAGGTTGCACCTTCACTCTATTGGTTGTGGCCATTGCTGTGCAGATACGTTTTAGCTTGATAGAGTTTAATCTGTCTGTTTTTGCTTTTGGTGCCTGTGCTTTCAAGGTCTTACCCAAATAATCTTTGCCTGGACTAATAGCATGAAGCATTTCCCCTATGTTGTATTCTAGCAGTTTTATAGTTTTGGGTCTTACATTTCAATTTTTAATCTATTTTGAGTTGATTTTTATATGGTAAAAGATAGGAATCCAGTTTCATTCTGTTGCATGTGAATATCCAGTTTTTCAGCCCCATTTATTCAAGATACTTTACTTTCTCCAATGTATGTTTTTGGTGCCTTTGTTGAAAGTGAGTTGGTTGTGAATATATGGATTTGCTTCTGAATTCTCCATTGTCTTCCACTGGTATACATATCTGTTTTTATCACAGCACCTTGCTATTTTGGATAGCTTTGTAGTATATTTTAAAGAGAGGTAGTATGGAGTCTCCAGCATTTTTGTTGTTGTTTTGTTTTGTTTGTTTTTGCTCAGGATTGTTTTGGCTTTTCAGGGTCCTTTTTGATTTTTTAATAAATGTTATGATTGTTTTTCATATTTCTGTGAAGAATGCCATTTTTATTCTGGTGAGGATTACATTGAATCTGAACATCCCTTTGAATAGCAAGTTGTCTAGTTTTTAAACAGACAAAAGGATGGCAAAAATGTGACAATGCCCTGATTAGGGTTAAAAAACAATATAATTTTATTTTTTACACATTTAATAAAATTGGGAAAAATGTAACGTACTTTTTTAAAAAGTTGTTTAGTTTTTAAAAATTGTTGAGTGGGAAAAATATATCTGTAGATATTTTATCTGCTTTTTAGTAAACTGGTTCTCATACAGGAAAAAGTCAATGTACAAAAGCAAGATTTATACAAGTTAACAAACACATAAAGGATAAATGCATTACTCACAAATGACTTAAACTGCAAACTTCCCAGTTATTAAACAAATATCCTAGATTTTCTAGATCTGAGCCTATATTAGCTTTATTGGTCCATCTCCTCATTACTTGCAGTAAGTCCTTTTAGATAGACAAATGCAATTTACCACCTTTAAGCTCTGCTTACTATTTCCCTAGATATGAATTCTCTATCTCTACCTGTTGAAATATTATCTAACTTACAAGCTCTATCTCAAGCTTCTCTTCCATGACTATTCCTTAGTCCTCTGAGTCTGCCACAGTTGTTCTTGTCTTTGCATCTATTAAGATCTATTAAGTACTCTTTTTTGTTACAGGTACATGAACTTTTATGTTACCATTATTAGATAGCAAAATCCCTTAGAGCAGAGGCTATGTGTGACTTCTTACTGAGGTTCACTCCACAGCTAGAAAAATTCCTAACACATAGCAGATGTTTCATAAAATGTTTGCTGAATCGAACTGACTGTGAAATTGTTAAGTTCTCATTTCACCTTGACAACAGAACAGATTGCAGAAGCATGCCGGTGATGATAAGTTGATTTTCGGCAGATTTTTAATGCTAAGTTGTCACACGTGAAAAGATGGCTAAAATGAGCATTCAAGAGTAAACAGACAACCTATAGAATGAGAGAATATATTTGCAAACTATGCATCTAAAAAAGGTCTAATATTCAGACCCTATAAAGAACTTAACAAGAAAAAAAAAAACAACTCCATTACAAAGTAGGCAAAGTAAATAAACAGACACTTTTCAAAAGAAGACATACACATGGCCAAAAAACATTAAAAAATACTCAACATCACTAATCGTCATAAAAAAAAGCAAATTAAAACCACAGTGAGATACTGTCTCGCACCAGTCAGAATAGCTATCATTAAAAAGTTAAAAAATAACAGATGCTGGCCAAGTTACAGAGAAAAGGAAATACACATTGCTGGTGAGAATGTAAATTAGTTCAGCCATGTGAAAAGCAATGTGGTGATTTCTCAAAAACTTAAAATGGAACTACCATTAAACCCAGCAATCCCATCATTGAGTATACACCCAAAGGAATATAAACTGTTGTACCACAAGAACACATGCACGTGTGTGTTCATTGAAGCACTATTCACAATAGTAAAGACAAGGAATCAATCTGAATGCCCATCAACAGTAGAGTGAGTAAAGAGAGAAAATGTGGTATATATACACCATGGAATTGTATGCAGCCTTAAAAAAGAATGAGCAATATGGATGGATCTGGAGGCCATTATCCTAAGGGAACTAACACAGGAACAGAAAACCAAATATGACATGTTCTCACTTGTAAGTGGGAGATGTATTAATTCTCACATTGCTATAAAGAAATACCCGAGAAACTGGATAATTTTAAAGAAAAGAGGTTCAATTGACTCACCATTCTGCAGGTTTTTCAGGAAGCATGGTGGGGGAGGCCTCAGGAAACTTAGAATCATAGGAGAAGGCAAGGGGAAAACTGGCATGTCTTTATGGCTGGAGCAGGAGGAAGAAAGCAGTGGGGAGGTACCACACACTTTTAAACAACCAGATCACCTGAGAACACTATCCCAAGACAGTATCAAAGTCAGAAATCAGCCACCATAATCCAATCACCCCCAACAGGGCCCAAGCTCCAACATTGGGGATTACAATTTGACATGAGATTTGGGTGGGGACACAAATACAAACCATATCAGAGCTAAACATGGAGTACTTAGGGACACAAAGAAGGAAACAATAGACACCGGGGTCTCCTGGAGGGTGGTGGCTGGGAGAAGGGTGAGGATCATCAAACCACCTATCTGGTGATGAAATTATCTGTACACCAAACCGCCTTCACACACAATTTAGCTATGTAACAAGCCTACCCATGTATGCTTGAACTAAAAATAAAAGTTTAAAAAATTTATTTTAAGGTATACAATTTTCAATGTCACATCAAATGTAATTAATTGAGAATATACCCAAAAAATTACTTTCAAATTTTACTTTCAAAAAATTACTTTCAAATTTTACTTTATCAATAGATTAAAAACCTAGAAATTATATTTTTATATTTATTATATTATTTGTAGTAGATATGGATACACGTAGTATCCTTCTACTTACCCATTTCCATATCTACTACAAATAATTCTCTGCTTCTTTTTCTCTGACCTTGATTGCCATGTCAACAACACACTTTTAAATTATGCTACAATGGAAATATTCTTAAGGATGAAGTTACATGTGGTGCAAAAGCTTCACAAGTCATTTTTATTAGGTGCTGAGACTCCTATCCACTTTAAAAGCAGATACAACTTCTGTCTTCAGATCAAGGAGGAAAGGCAATCACCCTAATAATAAATGTTTAGATATTTTATTGGAATAAAGAGAGAAGGAGGGAAAAACAGTTGACTAGCATGAGATTCATTCAATATGGGAATAACCCAATGTTTAAGGTGAAGATAAGCCTTGGAACAAGGAGGACAACACAACAGGTAGAGAGTTTGGTTGGGAGGAAAGGGGAGAATCTGACAAAAATAAAAGAGGGAAGAATTTTCTTTTTTTTTTTTTTTTTTTTTTTTTTTTTTGAGACGGAGTCTCGCTCTGTTGCCAGGCTGGAGTACAGTGGCATGATCTCAGCTCACTGCAACCTCTGCCTCCCGGGTTCAAGCAATTCTTCTGCCTCAGCCTCCCGAGTAGCTGGGACTACAGGCACGTGCCACCACACCCAGCTAATTCTTGTATTTTTAGTAGAGACGGGGTTTCACCATGTTGGCCAGGATGGTCTCGATCTCCTGACCTCGTAATCCGCCCTCCTCGGCCTCCCAAAGTGCTGAGATAACAGGCACGAGCCACTGCACCCGGCCCAAGAATTCTTAATATTAGACGACCTAAAGCAAAATCAAACTTCAGTGATGGTAATATTAAACAAATATCAATATAAAATGAGATCTAAAATTCAAAGTTATTTTTATTTCTTCCAAAGTCTTCCCAAAATGTTTTATGCCTTATAATATCTCTTTAGACATGGTTATACATGTTTCCTTTTACCACATTTTCTTAGATACATTTGAAAAGACCAGACTTTGATTAAAATATTGCCATCATTGGTCGAGTGCTGTGGCTGAGGCCTGTAATCCCAGCACTTTGGGAGGCCAATGCAGGAGGCTCGCTCGAGCCCAGGAGTTGGAGATCCGCCTGCTCAACATAGCAAAACCCCATCTCTACAAAAATGCAAAAATTACCCGGGGGTGGTAGTGCGCATGCGTGCACCTTTGGTCCCAGCTGCTTGGGAGGGTGAGATGGGAGGATCTCCTGAGCCAGGGAAGTCTAGGTTGATGTGAACCTTGCAGCAGCTGCACTCCAGCCTCGGTGACAAAGAAGACCATGGCCAAAAAAATTAAAAAATAAAAATAAAAATAAAATAAAATAAAGAAAAAAATTACCATCATGGTTAGGAGTGAGTAGGTGAAGAGATGTGACTACTAATTGCAACTATGTCATCTATAAGAAATAAACATCACTCAATACACATTGTGGGGCATAAATGTCATTTCATACATGATAGATTATCCAGATATATATTATGCCCCTATGGTGTATTATGCAAAGGCAGAAGATAACAATTCACATAGATGAAATATATAATGATTTACTTTAATTAGTGTACCCTAAGTAGGCAGCATATGGTATATTTTAAATGTTTTCTAGAACTCATTTAACTTGGTTTAATTTACCAAGGAGTAAACTATTTGATACATTACATAGAAAGCAATGAGACAATCAGAAAGCCATCCTTTAAAATATTTAAAATTAAGGATGTCATATAACTACAGATTTGGGGATTACAACAAAATTTAAGCTATTTAATATGTCAGCTATGATTTACAAGAAGAAAACACTGAGAGAGCATAATTATTTAATGTAAGGCAATGTATTCATCCAGAACTTATTCTTTGTTATGATAAAGATTAACTTTTTAAATTTATCAAATTCCATCTCCTATAAAAGTTAACTTTTTACATTAAGTGGAAAAATACTCAGAGAATTCAGGAACATACTGATTTCAGGAAAAATAGGCTGTTTCCATTTCTGATCTACAACGAATGAGACAATTAAAAGAAGTGAGAAGATGGTAATTGGTACAATAAAAATAGTAATTTTATTGCACCTTAACAGTCTTATTTTATGTAGTGGATCTTCTCTATGAAATAAGGCCACAATCATCTGATCTACCAATAAAATAATGATTTGCAATTGAAATACCTACTTGGCCATAAAGTCAGCTGCCTCAAATATGAATATATGGTAGTATGGTTATGTCAATTAAAATCCCCAAGGAAGTATTTCAAATCTCTCATTAAAATATACAACCAGGGATTTCTGTATGGTTATGGTGGCAGGGGATCACAAATCATTTTGTATTACCCAAAATAACGTCTTTACTGAACTGAGTTAATTGCAGTGGCGAAAGTTATGCAAAAAAAGCCAATATAGTGAAAAAGAAGCTACCTCAATCAGATATTCAAACTCTATATCAGTATCTGATAGTTAGATTGTGGAAATCACACACTGATAAGCTCTCATGTGTCTGGTATTTCTATGTTTAGCAATCATCTACCATGTAAGTAGCTTTGTGTACATAAGTTTGCTTGGTTTTGATGACAAAATCTTGAATTTAAAAAAGCAGGCCGGGTTCAGTGGCTCACGCCTATAACCTCAGCAGTTTGGGAGGCCAAGGAGGGTGGATCACTTGAAGTTAGGAGTTTGAGACCAGCCTGGTCAACATGTCGAAACCCCAACTCTACTAAAAATACAAAAATTAGCCAGGCATGGTGGTGCACGACTGTAATCTCAGCTACTTGGGAGGCTGAGGCAGGAGAATCATTTTAACATGGAGGCGGAGGTTTCAGTGAGCCGAGATCACACAACTGCACTCCAGCCTGGGTGACAGAGTGAGGCTCTGTCTCAAATAAATAAATAAATAAATAAATAAATAAATAAAATAAAAAAGCAACCTAAAATTCATTCAACACGGATAAAAAGTATGTGCATTTGTAAGAACATTAACTTTCGTTTAATATTTCTTCCAGATTCCACATTCACATATAAAAAATGGTATTGAGGAGAAAGCGTTCTCTGCAGCAAACTTCCATAGAAGAGGTGCTTTTAATAAACAATAGAAAACCTCACAGGATGAAAGAGGTTTTATATCATGTAAAGGTAGCTGAGAATAGGATTAAAATATGACAATTACTAGGAACAGTTTATTTTAGATAGCAACCATCTCCTATTATGGGCTAAAAACATCTCTTTTAACATAAATTGTTATTTTGTCATCCCTAGGTGGCTATAACATTGGATTCTCAACATAAAGTGGAATAATATATTTTCTATACTTATGCTGGAAGTATGTGAACAAATTTATGAATGGCAAATTGGATTTTCTATATGACTATATTTAGTCAGTTCAAAAACTAAACTATATTCTAGGTTTACGAAGCTTTCATCATTTCATGTACCAGCGACAACTTTCTAAAGACAAGGCAGATTGTCATTATAAGGCATCAAACTCACTGGCAATAAGTTCTTTGCAAGATAATTAATGAAAACTTACATTGCCTCCCAAATATTGTAAAACTTGTTATGATTTTGGTATGTGTTAGTTGTTTAGAAATTAAACGTTTTCTATGTCTTCGCAGATTTACACATTCTGTAATAACGTGGACAATACTCAATAGAATACCAGACATAAAAAATCTTGATCATCGGTTATTTAAAAATATCTACTACAATTTCATAGACAGTTATTTCCCTAGCCAGTAGAAATTAATAACTTCGCTGAGTAACAAATCTATTACTTATATTTTGCTCTTGTTATCATAATTTTTTACTAATATCTAATAAATACAATTAGAAACTTCATCGTATTGGGAATGTGAGCATGAATAGTATTGAATTTTAAGTTTTTCTCTCCTCCCCAGGAAACATTAATGTTTTTAGTGAAGTTTGCTCCTCATATGAGTTTTTCATGGTGGTTTTAGTCATGAGGAAATTAATAAAAATATCACCACAAAATAGAACTTTGCAGTGGACAAAGCTATAGAGACAAGCAAAGAAAGCCAGATGGGAGATAATTAAGGGGATTTGAGGTCTTCTGTATGAGAAAAGCCCTTAAAAATCAGATAAATTCTGAATTAATCCTATTTTAAATCTTTGCTTTAAATGATAAATATTATAAATAAATATACTGGTGTCAGATTAACAGTTATGAAGAACAAAATTAGGATAATGTATTAGGTTTTATATATATATATATGCACACACAAATCTATTTGTGTATCCATATAAATTTGTGTGCTTAAATATTTTTCTCAAGTGATCTATGCCACTATAATTTTTCTATATTTGTCTAAACAGCTCTATTAAGTTAAAAAGGGAATATGCCACTATGTAAATGTATTTTTAAAGAAGACAGATGTTTGTCTTTCATATACTTTATAAATATTAGTGTGGGAGAGAACTATATAGCACAGATTGATGATTCACTTTTACACTGAAAGAGATAGAAAGTTAGGAAGAGCTGATATAAAAATCAACTAGTGCCACTGGTTGCAAAGTAAACTCACATCATTGATTTTTGTAGTTTTTAGTCTCTTCCACAAACCATATTTCTCCTAACCCATAAAATCTTACAATGAGAAAATTATGGACTATACCCACTAATACTTCTCTAAAAACTTATTATTGTGAGCACCATTGTATAGAAGTTTGTGCTTCTTGAACTAAAACCATCTTTAAATTTTTATGTGAGCTAAAAAGTATCCTATTTATAATAAGCCAAATTATTTTGTTACCACAAAACTGAGTAAATATTTTAATTTTATTTTACTTGATTCAACTTTCTAATAACTTCCCTGCATGACAAATATATTTCTTATGTTTTGCTTCTGTCATCATGAATTTGTTTTACTACCATCCAATAAATACAAATAGAAACTTTATTTTATTGAGAGGAAACATAAATAGTGTTGAATTTCACTTTTTCAAATTGAAATTTAGGGTACTGTAAAATATGTTAAGTAGTTTTGAATTTAGGACATTGATACAAGAGCTACTAAACAGAGCAACCCACTGCAATTAATTTCCCAATTTTTCCCCATTTTCATTCTGCTTAAGTTCAAAGTCATGTAGGAGTATATATTTATTAAGAAAAAATATTTTCATAAGTCACATACAGAATTATGTCTATGTATTTTTTGGAGAGAGAGGGATCAAAACATTTCTCCAGAGAACACATAACATTTTGAAAAAGAAAATAGAATGCCCCAGCACATATACCCAAATGATCAAATAATAATGCAAGACATGTATTAAAATATTCATACCATCAGTAGTACATACTGTTAGAAAAACAGTGATTAGCAGAGGCAGTGATTATTCTGGGTAGTCTGAAAGAAAGAGATCCATTACTTGTTTCAGCTTTTAAGCCGATGTTTTCTAAGACAACAAACATGTCATTGCTTATTCTTTTCTTCTTTTTGACCAGGGTAGAGAGTGTTTATATCCAAAAAGTAGGCTTGGCTGAATATAAAGACCTGAATCGTAATCAGGACTTTGGGAATTAAACCATCATTTCAATACAGCTGAACAGAAGTCTTGAATGTGTGACAAGCTTTTTGAGGAAAACTGCTGCTGAGCTGAATTGGTTCTCTGTCATATATACTTGTTTCTTTAGTTTGCAAGCCCGTGTCTTTTAATTGGGGCATTTAGCCCATTTATATTTAAAGAGAAGAGTTGTTGGAAGCAGTGTGGGAACTGATGGGACCATTGAAAACACAAATAGGATCTATTAAAATATCTACTAAATCTTCCACAATTTGGGAATTCTTTTGTGTGTACTACTAAAATAATTATCTGACAAGTAGTGATTTTTTTTCCTGAACTCTGAGTGACTCCTTAAGGTGGCATCAAGTCAGATCATGAAGGACTTTTTATGAATTTTCTGCCCTCATTTCAATTAATACATAAACAAAGATGAATAATATCATATACTCTGACTCTTAGAGATCACAAGATTCTAATAGGTGGCCAAACTCCTTGAAAATAAATAGTATGTACTACAAGACTCCAAATATAAATATAAGTGGGAATAATAAATTATGTGCTAAATTTTTAGCAGCTTGTTTTCCTGTGAAATGGTGCAATACAGTTTCAAACAACAAGAACCTTATAAGTTGAATTCTGTTTATTCTGGGTTAATTTACTTCTTTGAAATGAAAATTTAAAATGTAAGTCTGATATGAGATCTTATTTTATTATTTTCCCTCTAATGTGCCTTTTCTGAAATAACAAACATACGTCTGCCATCATTTTATTTTTGTGTTTTGAAAATAACTTTAATATTTTCAAAAAATACTTCCTAACAGTTTTAAGTATAGTATACATGATTTTCCCTTTTTTCTGATACATTTTTGACCATTTAAAAGACAGGATGAAAGGTAGCAGAGGATAAAGGTTAAATCTCAAGCAGAAAATATATGGAGGTTCTGAGATTTTTTTAACAAGTGGCTGAGAAGATATTCTATATTGCTTGCAAGGGTAGTAGACAATGATGAGCATGTGAACCCATTCAATTGATTAGATTTTCCTGATATGGTTTGGATATTTTGTTGCCTCCAAATCTCATGTTGAAATGTGTTCTGCAGTGTTGGAGTTGGGGCCTAGTGGGAGGTGTTTGGTTGTAGGGTCAAAGCCCTCATGAATGTCTTAGTGCTGTACTCAGGGTACGAGGGAGGTCTTGCTCTGTGAGTTCACTTATGATATGCTTCTTTAAGAAAGCATTGCACCTCCTCCCTCACTCTGTTGCTGCCTCTCTTGCCATGTGACACACTGGCTCCCCTACACCTTCCACCATGATTGTAAGCTTTCTTAGGCCCTCACCAGAAGCACATGCCGGCACTATGCTTCATGCACAACCTACAGAACTATGAGTCAAGTAAACATTTTTCTTTATAAATTACCCAGTCTAAGGCATTCCCTTGTAGCAACACAAATGGACTAATACAGAAGATTGATACCTAGGAGTGGGATGATGCTATAAAGATACCTGAAAGTGAGGGGGACTGAGATGGCCTAATAGAAACAGCTCCAGTCTGCAGCTCCTAGTCAGATCAATGCAGGAGGCAGGTGATTTCTGCATTTCCAACTGAGGAATACAGTTCATTCTACTGGGACTGGTTAGGCAGTGAGTGCAAACCATGGAGAGCAAGCAGAAGCAGGGCAGAGTGTGGCTTCACCTGAGAAGTGCAAGGACCGGGGTACCTCCCTCTCCCAGCCAAGGGAAGTGGTGAGGGACCGTGCTACCCATCCCAGGTACTACGCTTTTCCCACGGACTTTTGCAATCTGTGGATCAGGAGATTCCCTCGTGAGCCTACACCACCAGGGCCCTGGGTTTCAAGCACAAAACTGAGCGGCTGTTTGGGCAGGCACCGAGCTACCTGCAGGAGTTTTTTTCATACCCCAGCAGTGCCTGGAACCCCAGCAAGAGAGGAGAACTGTCCACTCCCCTGCAAAGGGGGCTGAAGCCAGGGAAACAGTGGTCTCGCCCAGCAGGTCCCACTCCCACAGAGCACAGCAAGCTAAGAACCACTGGCTTAAATTCTCACTGCCAGCACAGCAGTCTGGAGTCGACCTGGGACGGTCGACATTTGTGGGGGAGGGGCATCCACCAATAGTGAGGCTTTAGTAGGCGATTTTCCCCTCACAGTGCTAAGGAGACTGGGAGGTTTGGACTGGGCAGAAATCACCACAGCGTGGCAAAGTGGCTGTGACCAGAATGCTTCTCTAGATTACTCCTCGCTGGGCAGGGTGTCTCTGAAGGAAATGCAGCAGATAAAAGTCTCAACTCCCTGGGACAGAGAACCTGAGGGAAGGGGCGGCTGCCTGCACAGCGTCAGGAGATTTAATCTTTCCTGCCTGCCGGCTCTGAAGAGAGCAGCTGATCCTGACAAGGGGGATTCTCCCAGCACAGTACACCAGCTCTGCTAAGGGACAGACTGCCTCCTCAAGTGGGTCTCTGAATCCCGTGCCTCCTGACTGGGAGAGACATCCCAACAGGGGTCAACAGGCACCTTATACAGGAGAGCTCCAACTGGCATCAGGCAGGTGCCCCTCTGCAACGAAGCTTCCAGGGGAAGGAGCAGGCAGCAATTTTTGCTGTTATGCAGCCTCCACTGGTGACACTTGGGTGAACAGGGTCTGGAGTGAACCTTCAGCAAACTGCAGACCTGCAGACCTGCAGAAGAGGAGCTTGACTGTTAGAAGAAACACTAACCGAAAGCAACAACAACATCAACAAAAAAGAACCCCCCACAAAAAACCCATCCAAAAGTCATCTGTTTCAAAGATCAAAGGTAGATAAATCCATGAAGAAGGGGAAAAACCACCACAAAAATGCTGAAAATTCCAAAAGCCAGAATGCTTTTTCTCCTCCAAATGTTGGCAACACCTCTCCAGCAAGGGGGCAAAACTGGACGGAGAATGAGATTGACGAATTGGCACAAGTAGGTTTCATAAGGTGGCTAATAAAATTCCTCAGAGCTAAAGGAGCATGTTCTAACCCAATGCAAGCAAGCTAAGAACCTTGATAAAAGGTTACAGGAACTGCTAACTAGACAGAATAACCAGTGTAGAGAGGAACATAAATGACCTGATGGAGCTGAAAAACACAGCACAAGAAATTCGTGAAGCATACACAAATATCAATAGCTCAGTTGATCAAGTGGTAGAAAAGATATCAGAAATTAAAGACCACCTTGCTGGCATAAGGGATGCAGACAAGATGAGAGAAAAAAGAACAAAAAGGAACAAACAATGCCTCCAAGAAATATGGAAGTATGTGAAAAGACCAAACCTGTGATAGACTGGTGTACCAGAAAGTGATGGGCAGAATGGATCTAAGTTGGAAAACACACTTCAGGATATTATCCAGGAAAACTTCCCCAACCCAGCAAGACAGACCAACATTCAAATTCAGGAAATACAGAGAATACCACTAAGATATTCCATGAGAAGATCAACCCCGAGACACATAAACATCAGAATCTGTAAGGTTGAAATGAAGGAAAAAATGTTAAGGGCAGCCAGAGAGAAAGTTCAGGTCACCTACAAAGGGAAGCCCATCAGACTAACAGCAGATCTCTCTGCAGAAACCGTCCAAGCCAGAAGAGAGTGGGGGTCAATATTCAACATTCTTAAAGAAAAAATTTTCAACCCAGAATTTCATATCCAGCCAAAGTAAGATTAATAAGCAAAGGAGAAATAAAATCCTTTCTAGGCAAGCAAAAGCTGAGGGATTTTGTTACCACCGGGCCTTCCTTACAAGAGCTCCTGAAGGAAGCACTAAATATGGAAAGGAAAAACTGGTGCCAGCCACTGCAAAAACACACCAAAATATAAAGACCAATGACAGTATGAAGAAACTGCATAAACTACTGTGCAAAATAACCAGCTAGCATCATGATGACAGGATCAAATTCACACATGACAATATTAACCTTAAATATAAATGGGCTAAATGCCCCAATTAAAAGACACATACTTGCAAATTGGATAAACAGTCAAGACCCATCCATGTGCTGTATTCAGGAGACCCATCTCATGTGCAAAGACACACATAGGCTCAAATAAAGGGATGGAGTAATATTTACTAAGCAAATGGAAAGCAAGAAAAAAGCAGGGGTTGTAACCTTAGTCTCTGATAAAACAGACTTTAAACCAACAAAGATCAAAAAAGACAAACAAGGGCATTACATAATGGTAAAGAGATCAATGCAACAAGAAGAGCTAACTATCCTAAATATATATGCACCCAATACAGGAGCAACAGATTTTTAAAACAAGTTCTTAGAGACCTACAAAGAGATTTAAACTCCCAAACAATAATAGGGGGAGACTTTAACACCCGACTCTCAATATTAGACAAATCAATGAGACAGAAAATTAACAAGGATATTCAGGACTTGAACTCAGCTCTGGATCAAGTGGACCTAATAGACATCTATAGAACTCTTCGCCCCAAATCAACAGAATATACATGCTTCTCAGTGCCACATGGCACTTATTCTAAAATCTACCACATAATTGAAGTAAAATACTCCTCAGCAAATGCGAAAGAATGAAATCGATGCTTTAACATCACAATGAAGAAAACTAGAAAAGCAAAGCAAACAAATTCAAAAGATAGCAAAATACAAGAAATAACTAAGATTAGAGCAGAACTGAAGGAGATAGAGAAACTGAAAAATCCTTCAAAAACACAATGAATCCAGGAGCTGGTTTTTTGAAAGTATTAAGAAAATAGACCACTGGCTAGACTAATAAAGAAGAAAAGAAAGAAGAATCAAATAGATACAATAAAAATGATAAAGGAGATATCACTACTGACCCCACAGAAATACAAACCACCATCAGAGAATACTATTAACACCTCTATGCAAATAAACTAGACAATCTAGAAGAAATGTATAAATTCCCTGACACATACACCCTCCCAAGACTAAACCAGGAAGAAGGTGAATCCCTGAATAGACCAATAACAAGTTCTGAAATTGAGGCAGTAATTAATAGCCTACCAACTAATAAAAGCCCACGATCAGACAGATTCACAGGGCTAAGTTTTTATTTTTATTTTTGAAGATGGGGGTCTCTTCATGTTGTCTATGCTGGTCTTGAACTCTTGGGTGCAAACGATTCTCCCACCTTGGCCTCCCAAAGTGCTGGGATTACAGACGTGAGCCACTGTGCCTGGACAAATCTAAAGTTTAATCACCCTTCAAAGCAACTGTTCTACTTCTACCTTCCAAAACTGGTTCTAGGTAACTTCTATCTACTCAGAATAACCTTCTCTCCATCCATGTATTATCCTTATTTTTCAAAACATGATTTCTCTTCATAAATCCTTTGGCTTAACATATACCCACAGCTCCTGCTGACATTGTATAGTGTATTTTTAAATGTGCAAAGACTTTCCACTCCAGAGTTTGTTACCTTTAACTGATTACACATCATTTATACTGTAAATTGCATCATATCAATTTCCTCCCTAAATATTTTTTTAATTCTTGTTCAAATGTGATCACCTTAAAGATATTTTTATTTTTATATCCTCTTAAAAATAATTGCTAACTTATAAGTGTTTTATATTGTTTTGTCTCTACCTCCATTTGTTGAGACTCATAAAACTACTTTTTATACTATTGTCTCATCACCTAATCTAGTTTTTTGCAGAGTGGGGCACTGTGTTAGTCTGTTTTCATTGACCTAAATACATACTTGAGACTGGGTAATTAATAAAGAAAAGAGATTTATTTGGCTCATGGTTCTGCAGGCTGTACATCAAGCAGAATGCTGGCATCTAGCTTTCACTCACAGCAGAAGGTGAGGGGGAGCCAGTGTGTCATATGGCAAGAAAGGGAACAAGAGAGCAAAGGAGGAAGTGCAAGATTCTTTTAAACATCCAAATCTTAAATGAACTCACAGAGTGAAAACTCACTCATAACTGCAAGGACAGCAAAAAGCAATTCATGGGAGATCCACCCATGACCCAAATATATCCTATTAGGCCCCACCTCCAACATTGGGGATCACCTTTCAACATGAGATTTGGAGTGGACAAAACATACAAACTATATCACTCTACCCTTGGCACCTCTAACATTTCATGTTCTCCTCATACTGCAAAATACAATCACCCCTTCCCAATAGTCCCCAAAAGTCATAACTCATTGCAGCATCACTCAAAAGTCAGTGTCCAAAGTCTCATCAGAGACTCAAGGCGAGGCAAGCTCCTTCCAATTATGAACCTGTAAAATCAAGAACAGGTGATTTACTTCCAAGATACAATGATGGAATAGGCATTGGATAAACATACCCATTCCTAAAGGGAGGAATCCACCAAAAGAAAGGAAAACAGCCTCCAGGCAAGCCTGAAACCCATCAGGGCAGACATTGAACCTTAAAGCTCTAAAATAATCCTTGACCCCATGTCTCACATCCAGGGCACACTGGTGCAAGGGGTAGGCTCTCAAGCCCTTGGGCAGTTCTGCCCTTGTGGCTTTACAGGGCGCAGCCCACATGGCTGCTCTTATGGGTTGGAGTTAAGTGCCTACAGTTTTTTTCCCACTGAGAGTGCAAACTGCTGGTGACTGTACTGTTCTGGAGTCTGGAGGGCATTGCCCTCCTTCCAACAGCTCCACTAGGCAGTACCCTGGTAGGGACTACAGTCTCACATTTCCCTCAGCACTGCCCTGTTAGAGTATCTCTGTGGTGCTTCACCACAGCAGCAAGCTTCACATGGGCACTGAGGCTTTCCCATACATCCTCTGCAATCTAGGTAGAAACTGTCAAACCTCCGCCACTCATGCATTCTGTGTGCCTGCAGAGTAAACATCACATGTAAGTTGTCAAGTCTAACAGTGTGTGCTCTCTGGAGTAGCAGTCTGAGCTGCACTTAGGACTTTGAACCATGACTGAAGCTGGAGCAGCAGGGATACAGGAAGCAGTGTGCCAAGGCTGTGCAGGGCAGTGGGACCCTGTGTCTGGCCCTTGAAACCGTTGTTTACTCCTAGGCCTCTGGGCCTGTGATTGGAGGGGCTACCTTGTAGATTTCTGAAATGTCTTCTACAGCTTTTTCCCCATTATCTTGGCTCCCTCTCTGGCAAGTGGCTTCTCTGCAACCCACTTATATTTCTCTCCTGAAAATGTTTTATCCCTCTTTACCACATGGCCACATTGTTAAATTTCTAAATTTTTACACTCTGCTTCCCTTTTAATTATAAAGTCCAACTTTAAGTCATTCCTTTACTCCTATATTTGATCACAGTCTGTTGGAAACAGCCATGCAACTCCTTGAATGTATTTCTGCTTAGAAATTTCTTCCACCTGGTACTATAAGTCATCAGTCTTAAGTTTAGACTTCCACAGATCCCTAGGACATTAACAAAATGAAGCCAAATTTGTTGTTAAGTCATAACAAGAATGACCTTTGCTTCAGTTCCAATAAATTCTTTGTTTCTCTCTGAGACCTCATCAACCTGGCCTTCACTGTCCACATCACTATCAGCATTTTGGTGACAAAAACTTAACAAGTCTCAAAAGAAATTCCAAACTTTGCTTCTCTTCCTGTCTTCTTCTGAGCCCTCCAAACTCTTCCAACTTCTGTCTGTTATCCAGGTCCAAAGTTGCTTCCACATTTTCAGGTATCTTTTTTTTTTATTAACTTGTCTTTTTTATTTGTTTGTTTTTAAATTTTACTTTAAGTTCCAGGATACATGTGCAAAATGTGCAGGTTTGTTACATAAGTATGCATGTGCCATGGTGGTTTACTGCAACTACCAATCAATCATCTAGGTTTTAAGCACTGCATGCATTTTCTATTTGTCCTAATGCTGTCCTGCTCTTTGTCCTAACGCTGTCCTGCTCTTTGTCCCCCAACCCAGGACAGGCCCTGGTATGTGCTATTCTTCTCCCTGGGTCCATGTGTTCTCATTGTTCAACTCCTACTTATGAGTGAGAACATGTGGGGTTTGGTTTTTGGTTCCTTTGTTTGCTGAGAATGATGGTTTCCAGCTTCATCCATGTCTTTGCAAAGGCATGATCTCATTCTTTTTTAAGGCTGCATAATAATCCATGATGTATATGTGCCACATTTTCTTTATCAAGTCTATCATTGATGGACATTTGGGTGGGTTCCAAGTCTTTGCTAATGTAAATAGTGCTGCAATAAACCTACATGTGCATACGTCTTTATAGTAGAATGATTTATAATCTTTGGGTATGTACCCAGTAATGGGATTGCTAGGTCTAATGGTATTTCTCGTTCTAGATCCTTGAGGAATCACCACACTGTCTTCCACAATGGTTGAGCTAAGTTACACTCCCACCAACAGTGTAAAAGCATTCCTGCTTCTCCACAGCCTCACCAGCATCTATTGTTTCCTGACATTTTAATAATCACCATTCTGACTGACATGAGATGATATCTCATTGCAGTTTTGATTTGCATTTCTATAATGATCAGTAATGATGAGCTTTTTTTCAAATGTTTGTTGGCCATATGAATGTCTTCTTTTGAGAAGTGTCTGTTCATATCCTTTGCCCACTTTTTGATGGGGTTTTCTGTTTTTTTTTTCTTGTAAATTTGTCTGAGTTCCTGTAGATTCTGGATACTAGACCTTTGTCAGCTGAGTAGATTGTAAAAATTTTCTCTCATTCTGTAGGTTGCCTGTTCACTCTGATGCTAGTTCCCTTTGCTGTGCAGAAGCTCTTTAGTTTAATTAGATCCCATTTGTCAATTCTGGCTTTTGTTGCAATTGCTTTTGGTGTTTTTGTCATGAAATCTTTGACCATGCCTGTATCCTAAATGGTATTGCCTAGGTTTTCTTCTAGGGTTTTTATGGTTTGGGGATTTACATTTAAGTCTTTAATCCATCTTGAGTTAATTTTTATGTAAGGTGTAAGGAAGGGGTCCAGTTTCAGTTTTCTGCATAGGGCTAGCCAGTTTTCCCAGTACCATTTATTAAATAGGGAATCCTTTCCCCATTGCTTGTTTTCATCAGGTTTGTTGAAGATCAGATGGCTGTAAATATGTGGTGTTATTTCTGAGGACTCGGTTCTGTTCCATTCATCTATATATCTGTTTTGGTACCAGTACCATGCTGTTTTGGTTACTGTAGACTTGTAGTATTGTTTAAAGTCAGGTAGAGTAGTGCCTTTTTGCTTAGGTTTCTTGTTCTTTTTGCTTAGGATTGTCTTAACTATATGGCCTCTTTTTTTGGTTCCATAGGAAATTTCAAGTAGTTTTTTCTAATTCTGAGAAGAATGTCAATGGTAGCTTGATGGGTATAACATTGAATCTATAAATTGCTTTGGGCAGTATGGCCATTATGGCCATTTTCATGATATTAATTCTTCCTATCCATGAGCATGGAATTTTTTTTTTTTTTTGCATTTGTTTGTGTCCTATCTTATTTCCGTGAGCAGTTGTTTGTAGTTCCCCTTGAAGAGGTCCTTCACATCGCTTGTAAGTTGTATTCCCAGGTGTTTTATTCTCTTTGTAACAACTGTGAATGGGAGTTCATTCATGATTTGGCTCTCTCCTTATCTATTGTTGATGTATAGTAACACTCGTGATTTTTGCACATTGATTTTGTATCCTGAAACTTTGCTGAAGTTGCTTATCAGCTGAAGGAGTTTTTGGGCTGAGATGATGGGGTTTTCTAAATATAGAATCATGTCATTTGCAGACAAGGACACTTTGACATCCTCTCTTCCTATTTGAATATGCTTTATTTCTTTCTCTTGCCTGACTGCCCTGGCCAGAACTTCTAATACAATGTTGAATAGGAGTGGTGAGAGAGGACATCATTGTCTTGTGCTGGTTTTCAAAGGGAATGCTTCCAGATTCTGCCCATTCAGCATGATATTGGCTCTAGGTTGTCATAAATAGCTCTTATTATTTTGAGATATGTTCCATTAATATCTAGTTTACTGAGAGTTTTTAAAGTGAAGGGATGTTGAATTTTATCAAAGACATTTTCTGCATCTATTGAGATAATCATTTGTTTCTTGTCATTGGTTTTGTTTATGTGATGGATTACATTTATTGATTTTCCTATGTGGAGCCAGCCTTGCAACCCAGGGATGCAACTGACTTGATTGTGGTGGATAAGCTTTTAATAACTGCTTAGTGTAATTGTTTAATAATTGCTAAGTGTATTTTGATACAGAAAGCATCAAATTTTTAAGGGAAGAAAATAAACCATCGAAATGGTTCTTTGTAGATCAATAATTGTTTTAGCAGAGACCTATTTATAATCTGGTATATTGAAATTCAGATTATAGTGGATTTGTGAGTGAAATCATATAAGCAAAGAAGTAAGGATTCTACTTTCAAAAACTTTGGTGTTTAAAAGAACTTTTTGATCAAGAGAGACAGGCTAGAAGAAATGCCACTTTAGGATGGGAAAACTTGATTCTTTTTGTGAGTATAAAAGAAGAAATCAATGAATATACAGAGATTAAAGATATAAATGATAAGATATATATGCATAGATGAAGCAATAATGTACTGAAGACATACTTAGATACACTAGTTTACTTCAGTGGCAAAGTAAGAAATTTCAAATTAAACTACACTAAATCAGAAAAGAAAATTGTGATTTCTAATAATGAAGTACTGGGGATTTACTGATTAAAGATGCAAGGCCTAACCTGACAGGGAAGCACAAATGGCAGTTAATAAAATGACAACAAGATTTGGTTATAAAATATAAATGGGAAGAGGGCCTTCGGTAGAAGCACAAGGTCAGTTCCACCCATGACTTACATTGATCCCACGCATTTGAAACAACTGCACCAATTGCTAAAGTATTGAATATACCCACACTGGCTGATAAATGAATAAATTCATGATTCTTGAGTTGCCTCCTTGCTACCCAAAGTGCTTCATTTCCCCCAAGAAACACAAAATGTCCAGTATCCAGATAATAAAGACTAATTTCTGGCCAAACCTGGGAGACTCTAGGACTCAGCTTCAGTTGTAAGGTCTGTATCATTCTAACAGGACAATGCTATACAATTTTTATAGATTGTGAATATTATCCATGGTTTCATCAATGCAGGAAACAATAATTCAGGAAGAAATATGGGTCTGCATACTGAAAACTTTAACCAGCTCAACAGAGAATGTACAGAATAAAACTCAAGTGTTGAAAGTCAAGAAAATGAGCCAGATTTTGCAAAAAGCCAGGGATGAAGGGTATTGAAAGGGGTCGTTTCCTATACCCAGTCAATTTGTTTACAGTTGCTAAAGGAATCTGAGTCCTGATAGGGTTACTATTCCGTATAGCATCTGGCCAAATGAAGGCTAGGCTCGATTTCCTGTAACTTCTTAGAAAAGCCTGACCATTTTTCCTCCTTTTGAGGTACTCTGTTAGCACATATGGCCTTTCTGTGCTAGTTATAAAAAATATGTTCCTATGGGCAGACCATTCATAAATGTCACCTTCTCCAAATCCCCCATCCTCTGAGTTAACCCCTCCACATTAAAACCACTGGCTTGGTGAGCAGAGTATGGAATGGATTTCAAGCCCTATTTGTGTCTCCTTTGCCACATACAGGTTTTATTAAGGCACTCTGGGCAGGTAGTCCTAGTACACTTCCCCATATGCTCACATAGCTTGATGGTTCTTTGGCTCAGTTGATACATTGGATGGTTATTTTGGGTCAGACTAATCTAGCTTTTCTGAAAAGGATACACGTAAGTTGCCATAAAGTAGCTGGAATGGATTTCATAGCCTTTTCATTTCTTTTTTATTTTTCAGCTTGCCAAGTGAATCTTCATGCCCTCATTTATTCTGTTCAGTTGGAACCACTTAAGTAAATATGTGGGGTTGAAACTGTAGCCTTTACACTTTGGAAGAAAAGGTCTCAAAGCTTATTTAAAAGTAAAAAAATAGATATTTTCACTGTATCAGTTTTTTCTTGCAAGGCAGCTCAGAGAACATTTTCCTTAAAGCTCATATAAATGGCCTCTATACATCCTGAAGTCCATAATAACACTCAGTCTTGTGGACAGTTGTTTAGTGTATCTGCCCTTTATACCTTAAGCTTTTTCCACAGAAGATAAGTTAACCTTTTCACATATATACAATACAAGGAAAATACATTATTTATGAGTTTGAATTGATTGAGCTCCCAGCTATCACACACTTGCATTGCAATATTTGATATATTATGATTAACAAAATAAAAAAACTTTGATTTTATTTCTCAAGCCCATGGAGTGGATTTGAAAATGCATACTTAGATGTCTAAAACCCTGTGACAGATCCATATTTCACTTAGGGGAAAGACTCTCTGGTGGCACTCTGTTCCAATGCATCACTAGTACAATGGTGCTGTGATAATATACTACCCAGTCTCATCTGTCAGTGGAGCACTAGGGAGAGGAGAGAAGTAAGTTTAATTATTTACTATTGCAATGTATCATCACAGTGTCACCAGTTTGTGCTCAGGAACATGACCCCAGATATGAGATGCCATACTCTTATTTTCGTAAGTAGTATCTGGGAATCCAAGGTGAACAAACCTAGGCTCATTACAAGACTTTTCTAAGAGAAAATGTTATAATTGCACTGTGAAATCAAAAATTGACAAAGATGTCAATGATCAAATAGAGATAATAATTTAAATTTCCTTTACAAAGCTGCTGCCTAAAAGCTGTAATCACAAACTGTAACTAATTTTATATCCTTTGTGATGCAGTTCATTTTAAACCATGATACTTCTTTTAAGAAAAATATATTTTAGGGTCTGTACTTATATTTTTCTGATAAGGAGTGCACTGTTTACTGGTTATATCTATATACCAGTTAATGATGATGGAATAGATGAACACTGAGTAAATAAGAGTATTCCTTTCAAATGTTTATTTTTAGAAAACTAGTCACATTTTGTTAATTAAGACATTAATTCCACTAATATTCATTGTGACCCTATTACATGCCTGGTGCTATAGAGAGTTCCTGGGGTATGATAATACATAATCCTTTAATCCAAGAGGTATATTATCTTAGAGGGAAAAATGCATAAACCAATGTAAGGCATAATATAAGATAAGCAGCCCTTGACATTCAGAACCTGCTCTGACACTATCGCCCAGGCTTTGGTGTCACTGTGAGCCAGAATGATATTCACAGCCAGGACTTGGCGTTCTTCTGTTGAACATAAATAATGTCACAGAACATAAATATCAGACAAAGTCATTCTCTGATAAAGAATAACCGAAATAAAAATAAGACTCTTCCATAATTACGTCTGAACATAGACAAACATGATCATTGTCCAAGTTACAAAATACCAAGCATACTTCTCTTCTGACTAAAATAAGTGACTCCAATTTTTTTTTACCATTTATAACTATATTTTTTCTCTAGTCAGCCCTCTTCATAGATATTTATTTAGATTCCCAACCCAATCATACAAGTACTCTACTTTCTGACAATACGCAAGCAAAAGCAAAGCCCCTTTTCTTTAAATCTCCCCAAAATCACCTAAGAGAAGCTGAAACTCTATGCTAAGTCTTTCTAACACCATCTTAATAAGATACCCTACAGTTTCCTAGAGTATACCTGGGTGTAACAGATTTGAAATCCAACTTGCTTAACTGCAAGTGTGTTCTTAGTGGTCTTTGGCCAGATGGTATTGACAAATGAAACATAATCAGTGATGAATTAGAAAAAAGGTGTTAGAAATAAACTCATCTGTGTGTCTGTGTGTGTGTGTGTGTGTGAGAGAGAGAGAGAGAGAGAGAAAGATAATTGCACAATGTTAAAGGTTTAAAAACAGCGACATGGTTTGGATCTGTGTCTCCTGCAAATCTTGAAATGTAACCCCCAATATCAAAGGTGGGGCCTAAAAGAGTTTAGGTCATGGGGGAGGATCCTTCATGAATGGCTTGGTGCCCTCCTTGCAATAATAAGTGAGTTCTCACTGGAGTTTGCACAAGATTTGCTTGTTTAAGGGAGCATGGGACCTCCCCATAATCTCTCTCTCTTCTTTCCTCTCTCACCATGAAACATGCCTGCTCCTCCTTTGCCTTCTGCCCTGATAGGAAGCTTCCTAAGCCCTCACCAGCAGCAGATGCTGGAACCATGCTTTTTGTGCAGCCTGCACAAATGTGAATGTAAATAAACCTATTTTCTTTATAAATTACCCAGCCTCAGATATTCCTTTATAGTGATGTAAAATGGCCTAACGTAGACATTTATAAGAAGAAAAAACACTCTGCTTGCCCACTCCCATGAAATTCAGTCTATTCAATAGATTGCACATAATCTTAGTGAGAGGTGAAGCCAGCTGGACTTCCTGGGTTGGGTGGGGACTTGGAGAACTTTTCTGTCTAGCTAAAGGTTTGTAAATGCACCAATCCATACCCTGTAAAAACGCACCAATCAGCACTCTGTGTCTAGCTAAAGGTTTGTAAACACACCAACAGCACTTTGTAAAAACTCACCAATCAGTGCTCTGTGTCTAGCTAAAGGTTTGTAAACACACCAATCAGCACTCTGTAAAAAACGCAACAATCAGTGCTCTGTGTCTAGCTAAAGATTTGTAAATGCACCAATCAGCACTCTGTAAAAACGGACCAATCAGCATTCTGTAAAATGGACCAATCAGCACTCTGTAAAATGGACCAATCAGCAGGACGTAGGTGGAGCCAAATAAGGGAATAAAAGCTGGCCACCCGGGCCAGCAGCAGCAACCTGCTCCAGTAACCTTCTACTGTGTGGAAGCTTTGTTCTTTTGCTCTTCACAATAAATCTTGCTGCTGCTCACTCTTTGGGTCCACACTACCTTTATGAGCGGTAACAGTCACCGCGAGGGTCTGCAGCTTCATTCCTGAAGCCAGTGAGACCACAAACCCACTGGGAGGAACAAACAACACCGGACGTGCCACCTTTAAGAACTGCAACACTCACCGTGAGGGTCCGTGGCTTCATTCTTGAAGTCAGCGAGACCAAGAACCCACCGGAAGGAACCAATTATGGACACATTAGCACATGACTTATATATTTCTTAGAGCCATAAACTGCAAGAAGAAATATCTTCGGGTCATCTTCAAATTCCTGAAAAACACAAACTTGTCAAAAACATTAAGAAAGTGTCACCTGACAATGCAAGTCAGCGATTGGGCACGTTGCCTGATTACATCCGAGACAGCGTGTTGTGTAATTTAAGGTCATCAAGGCTTGAAAAATCACATCGAGCAGATCTACCCATCTACATCTAGGAACTGTGATGCTCACCATGGAAAACCATCCACCTGTGGCCACCCAGGACAATTACCCCAGAGTAGACAAAGTTCCCAACCTCAGAGCTTCAGAAGAAAAACTTACTTGGTTTCAAGTCAGGAAACTTCATTCCTAGCATGCATTCTTAATCTCCCTATTGATCTTAATCTTCCCATTATCAATAATCCTGTATTTTTTCAATGTTTTATATTCTCTCCTAATGTATTCTGTGTACAATGGCATTAGTGACTCGCTGGGAATTGCATCGAATCTATAGATTGTTTTGGGCAATAAGGCAATTTTAATAGTGTTGATTCTTCCCATCTATGAACACTTCCCATCCTTCAAAAAAAACTTCATCTTATTTTTTGCTGACAACCACATTTTTACACTAGTTTCCCAATGTGTCTAAAATTTAACAAGATATATCTACAACAGGAAACCAAACAAAGCAAAACTAGAATCAAATAAAATATTTCTGCATTAGAACGAATACCATTCTATAAGTCTATTAATATAGTTGCCTAAGACTTTCTTAAAATATAAATTAAAACCATAAACATTAAGCACAAGAAATACAAGCAGGCTTGTCATTGAATGAGAATTGAAATAAAAATACCATTACTACTATTATTACCTTTCATAAATTTTAACTGCATGATAAACTCTCCAATAAATGTATATGTATATTATCTCCTTCAATCTTTACAACTATCTGAGTTAGTTTTGTATTCCCATTTTAAGATGAAGAAATTGGGAAGTACATGCTACGAGTATAATTATGGTCAAATAGCTAAAATAGATGTAGTGTTTAAAAGAAAATAATATTTTAATTCCATTTTCTAGCTACTGGTTGAAAATTTTGTCCAACTGAATGGAAGAAACAACCAGAAAATACTAAAGAAAACTAAAATTATGTCCCAAGTTACTCAACGCCTACCTTGGTGAGATACCTTTGACTCTCAATTTCTTCCTCTATATAATGGACAAAAATATGCAAAGAAGTCCCTCCTCTGTAAATATTCGTAATGTTACAACTATCCTAAAGAATATAAAAACTATTTGCATAGATTTTTTGAACTGTAATTTTATTTCATTTCTCAGTATTATTCTGCCTTAGTATCATTGGTATATCATAATTCAATTCATATGTTAATCTTGTAATATATATTTTTATTTTTATAGATTTAGGGGATTCAAGTGCAGTTTAGTTACATAGATACACTCCGTAGTGGTGAAGTCTTGGCTTTTAGCGTACTCATGGCAGGAATAGTGTAGATTGTACTCAATGGGTAATTTTTCCTCTCTTACCTCACTCTCACTCTCCCATATTTTGGAATCTCCAGTGTCTAATATTCCACTCTGTATGTCCATGTGTACATATTCTTTGGCTTCCACTTATAAGTAAGAACACACAATATTCAACTTTCTGTTTCTGAGTTATTTCACTCAGGATAATTGTCTCCAGTTCCATACATGTTGTTGAAAAACACATGATTTTATTCCTTTTTTTAATGGCTGAGTAATACTCCATGGCAGTGCAAAGCTATTTGGGCATTTTTATAGTTCAATACAAACTTAGGATTGTTTTCTCAAACTCTGTGTACAATGGCATTAGTGACTGGCTGGGAATTGCATCGAATCTGTAGATTGTTTTGGCCAATAAGGTAATTTTAATAGTGTTGATTCTTCCCATCTATGAACATGGAATGCTATTCTATTTGTTTGTGTCATCTACAGTGTTTTGTATTTTCCCTTGTAGAAATCATTCAACTCTATAATTAAATGTATTTCTAGGTTTGGTTTCTTTTGGAAATGGGATTAAGGTCTAGATTTGGTTCTCAGCTTGATCGTTATTGGAGTATAGAAATGCTACTGATTTTTCTAGGTTGATTTTGTGCCTTTAAATTTTGCTGAAATCATTTATCAAGTCTGTGAGACTTTTGGAGGAGTCTTTGGGGCTTTCTAGGTACAAGGTTATGTCATCAGCAAACAGAGATATTTTGACTTCCTCTTTTCCAGTTTGGATGTTTTTTAATTTTTTTTTTTTTTTTTTTTTTTTGCCTGATTGCTGTAACAAAGACTCCCAGTACTTTGATGAATAGGAATGGTGAAAGTGGCCATCCTTATCTTGCTCCAGTTCTTAGGGGAATGTTTTCAACTTTTTCCCTTTTAATATGACATTGCCTATACGTTTGTCATATATGGCTTTTATTATTTTGAGGTAGATTCCTTCTATGCATAGTTTTTTGAGTTTTGTTTTTTTGTGAAGCAATGCTGAATTTTATCAGATGTTTTTTCTGCATCTATTGAGATGATTACATAGTTTGGTTTTTAATTATGTTTATGTGGTGAATCGTATTCATTGATTTGCATATGTTGGACCATCCTTGCATCCATGGAATAAAACTCACTTGATCATAGTGTATTAATTTTTTAATATGCTGTTGTTCATTAGTATTTTGTCGAGGGTATTTGCATCTAGGTTCGTTAATGATATTGGCCTGTAGGGGTGTGTGTGTGTGTGTGTGTGTGTGTGAGTGTGTGTGTGTGTGCCTGACTTTAGTATCAGGATAATGCTGCCTTTATATAATGACTTAAGAGTATTCTTTTCTCCTTGATATTTTGAAACAGTTTCAGCAGAATTGGTACCTGTTCCTTGTACAGTTCGTATCAATAGATTTCACCACGAATCTGCCTGGTCCTGGGCTTTTTTTGGCTGGGAGACTTTATGTTACCAATTCACTTTCACTGCTCATTATTGGTCTTTTCAATATTTCTATTTCTTTCTGGTTCTATCCTGAGAGGTTGTATGCTTCCAGGAGTTTAACACTTTCCTCTGAGTTTTCTAGTTTGTGTGTGTAGAGATGCTCATAGTAGTCTTTGATGGTCTTTTGTGTTTATATGATATTAGTTGTAATGTCTCCTTTTTCATTTCTGATCAGTCTTATTTAAATCCTCTCTCTTTTTTCCTTGGTTAATCTAGCTAGTGGTCTTCAATTTTTTGTTTATCCTTTAAAAAAATCAACTTTCTGTTTCATTGATCCTTTTTTGTCTCCATTTAATTTAATTCTGCTCTGATCTTTGTTATTTTTCTTCTGCTAGCTTTGAGCTTAATTTGTCCTTTTTTCTAGTCCTTTGAGGTATGGTGTTCGTTAATTTGTGATATTTCTTTCTTTTTGATTTAGGCGTTTATCACTCTAATGTTTTCTCTTAGCACTGCTTTTGCTATACTCCAGTTATTTTTGTATGCTGTTTCTCTATTTTGATGCATTTCAGAAAAGTTTTTGATTTTCATATTAATTTTCTTGTTGTTCCAAAGATCCTTCAAGAGCAGGCTGTTTAATTTCTATGTATTTGTATAATTTTGAGTGTTTTTCTTGATGTTGACTTCTACATGTGTTTTTCTACTGTGGTCCAAGAAGATACTTGACATGATTTCAATTTTTAAAAATGTATTAAGACTTTCTTGTGGCCTAACATATGGTTTATTTTGAAGAATGTTCTGTACACTGATGAGAACAATGTATATTCTACAGTTGTTTGCTATGTTTGGTAAAAATCTGTTAGTTCAATTTAGTCTAGAGTCCAATAAAGTCTGGTGTTACTTTGTTGATTTTCTGCCTCAATAATCTATCTCATGCTGTAAGGTGGGTGTTGACATCCCCCACAATGAAAATATGTCTATCTTCATTCTTAGATTTAGTAGTATTTGTTTCATGAATTAGGGTGTTTTGGTATTAGGTACATATGTATTTCTTGAGTTTTTACGTCTATTTATTGAATTGACCCCTTTATCATTATATAATGGCATTCTTTGTCTTTTTTACTGTTGTTGATTTAAAGTCTGTTTTTTTGTTTTTAAATCAGCATAGATAATTTCTGCTCGCTTTTGGTTTCTGTTTGCATGAAATGTATTTTTTAACCCCTTTACCTTGAGTCTATAATTACTAGTTAGGTGCATTGTTTGCAAGCAACATATGATTAGTTTTTTTAATCCATTCTGCCAATCTATATCTTGTACTTAGGGCTTATAAACTGAGCTTCTGTCTGGGTGCCTAAATCTCTAGGAAGACCTGGGAAGTTTTCCTCAATTATTCCTTCAAATAGGTTTTTCAGACTTTCTACTTGTCCTTCTTCTCCCTCAGAAATACTCATTACTCATACATTTTGATGCTTTACATAACCCTATATTTCTCAAAGGCTTTGATCATTTTTAAAAAGTCATTTTCTTTATTTTTTTTCACTGGGTTAAATCAATAGACTGATCTTCAAGCTCTGAAATTCTTTCTTCTGCTTGGTTAAACCTATTTTTAGAGCTATCAGCTATATTTTGTAATTTCTTCAGTGATTTTTCATTTTCAGAATTTCTTTTTAAAAAATATACATCTCTTTAGTAATTTTTTTGTTGATAGCCTGACTTTTTTTTTCTGATTTCTTTATGTTAGTTTTCAACTTCTACTTGAATCTCATTGAGCTTCCTTACAATCCATATTTTGAATTCTTTATGTGGCATTTAAGAATTTTCATTTTGATAAGGCTCCATTGTTAGAGGCCAGTAAGATCCCTTACAGGTGTTGTGAACACCCTGTTTTATCAGGCTGCCAAAAAGGTTACCCTGGTTTCTCTTCATCTCTAGAAGCTGTCACTTCTTTTTGAATTTACTTTCATTTGGATGGGATTCTTTTTCCCTTCATTTAAGCTGTGAGTGCCATGCATCTTTTTGATGGTGTGTAACTTTAATTCTTGGTGCTTGCAGGAGGCCAAAGGCTCTGAGTTCCTTGGTGTTAGATAGCCTTTGTTCAGTGTCTTTCTAAAATGTTGCTAGTAGGAGTGATGTACTGGGCATATTAGGAGGATTACTATTTTCTGTAGAACTGGGATTGTGGAGATCTCAGGAATCTCATCTCATCTGAGGGTGCTCTGCGGTTCTCTCAGCAGATTTTGTATTAGGTTTTGCAGTTCAACCTCCACATCAGGAGGTGAGGCTTATTATGTAAGAGCTGGCTGAGGCAGAAGCAGATGAGTATGTGCTTGATTGTTGTTTACAGTGGGGAGCTCTCCATTGTCTCAGGTGATGGGCTGGTCTGTAGTATGTCCGGTGATGACCTGTATATAATGCTCAGCCCTGTAGCTGGGGCAAAACTGGGTAGAAATGGACCCTCAAGCTCACTCTCAGATACCTCAATGATGAGTACAAGCACCAGCCCTACTGGGAGTGGCAATGAGAGCTCAGTGTGCATTGCGTCAAGGTCTTTGCAGAGAGGGGAGGGGGTCGTACCAGCTTCACATCCTTGGCAAGCAGGAATGTGATTTGCCTTCCTATCACAACCACGTCCCATGGCTCAGATTTTTAGTTTAGACGGATACTGGCATTTGTCCCCAGGCTGCATTGTAGCTGATGGTCACAAAAAACACCTGTTTTGCAGCTCTCCACTGACATGACCTTGGGTCAGAATCTCTTCTCTCAGCCTGAAACAGACAACCTTATGTCTCACCTGATCTCTGCTGTAGAAATGCTGCTGCTCCATGGAGAAATAGGGAGGGACTCCACCCTTTGTGCAAACCCAGGCCTAGTGAACACACTGCCAGTGGGGGTTCAGGTCCCCCATTAGCCATGGAATGGACATCCATAGGCACATTTATGTCATTCCCACATGGATACAGCCATGGCTGCATCGCAGAGGTGGGTGGGTGTAGAGGAGGAATCCCCCTCTCTATGTCTGTGTGCAAGCACCTGTGCCACCTGGCTGCTGGGGACAAACCATACTTCTCCACAGAGCCCAGTACAGCACCTGTGTCTCCACTGAAAGGGTCACAGTCACCTTCTTTTCACAGGCAGGGGCCTCTGAGGCACAGGAGAGCACACACTTCCATTTTCTTTGTCCCAAGGGTGCTGCTTTGGTGGCTGCAGTCTTCCTTCCCCTAGGAGTAGCCTGTTCCAAGAGTCAGAACACCAGGAATCCCACAGCTGCCTTGGGTCCTGCTGGCTCATCGTGACTACTGCAGTTGAAACATGTGCCGGAGAATATTCATGGAAGATCCAGTGATGAGGAGACACATGACTGAGATTCCCTGGTCAGGAAAGAGGTTTAAAACGAGTGCAAATCAAGTATCATGCCCACCCCAACAGCTTGTGTGTAGAAGGAAGAAGAGTGACACTGTGTGACCAGGCAGCCTGGTATACCCTAAAGATGTTACCAAATTACCACCTTCACCAGCACTTGGACTCACAAGGGCAAAGCAACTATCCAACATTTCAGAACCAGCAGTCTGCCACAGGAATGAGGGGAGCCAAAAACACCCCCACCTACCCTTTCCATGGGACTTCAATTTCACTGGGGTTCAATCTCTGCTTAACTCTTGCTCCTTTTTTTGTGCCTCAGCTTCTTTCTGTGAGTTCTCTGACATGCTCAAGCATTATCCCCTCAATATTACATTTAAGTTACAATTATTCACTGGTAAATTATGTCCTTTTTCAGGAGAACTGGCATACAATGTCTCTGGTCAACCATCTTGAAAAACACTTTCCTGTAATAACTATTTTAAAAGTACAGCACAAGTAGATATGTATGATCAATTGTCTATTCACAATTATTCTTTATAAATACTTGTACCAGTAAACTTCATATTCAATTACAGCTATTCTTCTTTTTCTTTAAAAAATGGACACAAATATTTACTAGATTTAAAAAGCAATGGCCAGACAGTATTCTTTTTCTTAGAAAACTCATTTGATTTCATTATATTTGCATGATACACTTTCTCTATAAAATATGTATGTTTATTTATTTCTAAATAATTGTATTTCAGGAACCAATTCATCAAAATAAGCAATCCTCTATAAGTACCTACCTTGTGAAGAAAAGGTAGAAACTATCATATTTTAATCTTCCACTCTGAAAGTAGTTTGTAATATTTTGATTGCTTTTCAAGTGAGTATAATTATTATCATTATGATAAGAATATTTGTGGAGAATATATACATTCAGAAGTAAATAATTTGAATTAACTTATTCAATTAGGGGAAATTGATTATTCAAAGAAAAGAAAGTTTCATCATCTGAAATTAGAAAATTAGAATTCTCAAGAACAGTATACATACGCAGAGATCAAGTTAGTACATTTCAAAATAACTGTGAGGATAAAAATGATGATAATGATGATGGTGATGAAAACAAGAAAGGGCTGTTGATTATTTTCCTCAAAATTGTTTCATAAACCATTTCTTCTGCTATGAGACAGAATGGCAAAATTTTTCAACTTGAGGACTATCAGCATATTTGAAAATGCTCCTGTGATTCTTGATTCACTCTAAGATTGTTGAATTTGTGGTGTTCAATTCGTAATTTAATAAACACCAAAAAACATGTTCTGTACCACGTTGTTCAACTGAAGATTGCTAATTTTTATGACTAATATTTCTATATTAACAATCATATGTTTGTAAAGTTAAAGCCAAATGACCTAGTGCTTTTTGCAAACTAAGACTTTCAGTAATTTAAATAATACAAAAAATCAAGGGAGCTGGGTTGTCACAGAGTACACTCTGGTGTAGGCAGCAGAATTCAAAGCAAGAGATAGTATTATAGCCCATTTTCAACAGATATCTCCATATATTTGAATCACCTATTTGCACATTATTTCCTGAAATATTCTCTCCAGAAGTTTTAATAAATATGCCAGGAGTATTTTTTCTGTTCTAACAATTATTGGACTACATGTTTATTCAATTCAGAATTCATTAAACTGCAGGGTTAATCTTATATTTAAGAGAGTAAGATGGCATTATAATAAATGACACACCTTTAAAGTGACAAATGTTCATTAGTTGAGTGTTAGATAAATATGAGGTCTGATTATAATAGGAAAACAAAGTCTTAATATTTTCAGGTACATATTGTATAACATAGATTGTAAATCAGTGAACTCTACATAAGTAGTATTGAAGTAAAAGAGGAAAAAACATTAATTATAGAACAAAATCTGGCACATTATATTTCTAATTTAAAAACAAAATCGGTGATTTATTTCCAGCTCAGTAATATAAGCAATCCATTACACTCAGTTAAGATTGTTAATTAGATAGAATTTTACTGCTTTGGTTATTTTGTTTGTGATTAATTTGTAAATTAATCTCTAACTTATAATTGTTTAAGCACATAAGCAAAAGGAAAGTAAACATAGTTCTTTATTTGCACAAATAAAATAACACAAATAAAATGGAGGCATAAACTCACACTTTATTTGAAACAATTCATCTATGATTTATATTTGAGAATGTTTCTTAATATGAGTATTATAATAAGAATATTTAAAGTATCATGTCTTGCAGTTTACAAAATACTGTAGATATGCTTTATTAGCCTCTCAAAATCAACTTGTAGGAGATTCTTCTTTTATGTGTGTGCTTTGACTGTAATTACTATGACCTTGAGCTGGACCGATTTCCCCAGTTCACCAACTGGTAATACGAAAATTATATCTGTTTCCCTACATGTACAGGTTTATTTTGCCAGAAAAAATGATTTAAAATGCTATTAAACAGGGACAAACACTACATTCAAGAAGAAAGCTTGTGGCAAATAGGAAATACCAAGACTTACACACAGGTCCATTTTACAGACTCCATAAGTTATCAAATTGGAAACATTATAAATGAAAAAGTAAAATTAAAAGGGAAAAGAAAATAGCCAATCTTTCCCTCATTTTGTTTTATAGTATTACCCTTGTGAAATTCCAGAAGCAGTATTGCTTTTTGTCAGCTAATTGATAGGAGAGATGTATAAATAAGAAAAGCATTCCTGGAAGATTTACTCAGTTTAAATATTATTAAACTGATTCTGGTTATTAAGGGGGAAGGAAGAGAAAGCGCAGCACTCAGAGAAGTTTGTCCTCCTCTAGTTTTCATTGAAGGTAGTGACTTCTCTCACCATTTCAAAATAGAACTGTCTGAAATTTTGAATTCTAAATTATATGACCTTAAAGTATGTAAGAATATAAGTATGACACTTAACTAAAATTAATTCATTTTTTGAAGAAAACATTTATTTTTTATATTGTGATTGAGATTCCATATATTCTCAAAGTCTTTTTTACTAAAACTCATTTAACTCCATTGATTCATGAGTGAATATGTACTTTTTCCAACAAACAGCCTTGAGAATTTCTCCCTTTTTTAAAAAAAAACATTTTTTATGTTGCAAACAAATCCATGTCAGTAATTGCTTCACTCTAAATGCTCTTAGCAGGCCTCAGTTATAAAATAACAAAAATATATCATGTATCTTTACAATTAGGTATATACACTTTACCCTTATGAGTTGCTATACAAATGAAATATATACATACGTACACACACACACACACACACACACTTTTATAGTTGCTGATCGAATGATATGATTATCTCTTATGCCCTCTGGCATAGTTACAATGACAATTACTTCTCTGAAAATCTCTTTTTTCCAAGAATTCTCTCCCATTGAATTCTGTCACAGATTAATGTGAGAATGGGTAAATATTCTTTATGTGATACTGAGGATAATTCATGAATGCTCTCAAGAAAGTGTATCATTTTAGCTTTACCATAAATTGTGGACAGGTAATATTGATACCCTGTTTGTGGTAGGCATAATGACAGTTAATTTATGGATGTATTTGTTATGGATAAACAGAAAGAAAAAGTTTTAGAATGACTTCATACTTGAGGAGAGATTTCTATGTCCAAAAGAGGACAACAAATAAAAAGCTGAATAAGCTTAGAAAAAATGGTAAGAACAGAATCTGTGTAGAAATATATCACTAGACTTTGACAAAGGATACATTGACCAGATGTGTGCTAGAGATATAGATTATCTTATATGTATGCCTATATTATTAAATATATACTATTATGTAACTTCCCATAGGATCAGGACTAATTCCTATATTTAAAAAACAAAACAAAACTTTTTAATACTACTCATGCAAAGTTATTATAAAGAGAATGGGAATAAAAAAAAACTTCCCAAAAAGAAATGTTTTACCACTTTAATCTTTTCTCATAAATTCTTCCACCATTTAAGGTGAAATCAATACCAATTTTACCAAAATCTTCCACGTTATTAAAAAAATACCAATGCTTTTCAACTGAGTTTATGAAGTCAGTATAGTTTGACTAAAATATTAAGAGTAAAAAGGGAAGAAAACTAATTGTCTTGACCATAGAAGGAACATATCAAAACAAAAATTTTAGCAACTCAATTACAAAGATATTTTTAAAAACATAATGCATTATAATCAAATTGGTTGATTCTAGTTTAGCAAATGATTTATTCCTTGAAATTCACTCACTGCAATTCAGTACATGAACAGAAACAAAAACAATATTTTTTACACAAGCTGAAAAATACTTAATGAAATGTGACATCCCAGGGCATAAGAACCTGCTGGAATTGATACTTTCTCATAGAGGAAGCCCCTGAATGCAATAATCATCTTGGAAGAATTCACAGTTATTCATTTTCTATCCCCCCATTTCTTTAGAGATGAGTTTTTCTTCCTTTCTTACGTTTATTATGTATTTTTCTAAGCTTATTTTTTCTCCATCTTTTTACTACCCCAAATAAGAAGACAGTATTTTTCCAAACTCTCCTACTTTAAAGCCAAAGATTCCATACCCTTGAGATGAAGGGGGGTATTACATATAATAATGGGGATATAGTAATCGAAAATAGGGTAAGAAATGAGGATATATATTTATCCCCATATATAATATGAACATATAAACATACAGAATGTAAATATATATATATCAGAATATATATATATATATATATTTATATATATATTTGATGCATTAGGAGAAAAAGGACATAAAGATAAATTAATAGGTAAGAGATGTTTTTAAATAACAATAATAATATGCTTCTGAATTAAGATTCATTGCAATTCAAAGCAATTCCAACTCAACCTTTCCTTGGTCTCTAGGTATTTCATCTCAGTATCTAGAATAAGGGCTATGGTATAATGAGTAAGTTGAGACCTACAGCATTACAAGGAGATTGAGTATGAAGAGGTAGTCATTGTGTAAACTTAAAATTAGTAGAGGAACTGCAGAAAGACTGGGAAGAATAGACACAGAAATGGAATCTATCATTGCTATATTAGTATTACATCTTGTCATGCTATATGTCATAGCAATCTAAAAGTAGAAAGCAGGCTAATGATTCAAGTTCAGAGAGGAGTGAGGAAAAGTTGTCTTTGGAGGAAAAACCTGAATGAATCTAGAAATCTAGTGATCAATAGATTTTTATAGTTTCTGAAGGTCTCAGTTTGAAGCAAGGAATTGAGTACAGGTTATTTGGATTTGTTTCTAAAGAACAAGAGTGAAAAAGCATGGGATGTGAAATACAATGGAGACAAAGCCAATATCAGGGTATTTTATAAAAGGCACTGATTTAGAATTAAGCAATATTACTCCAGGACTTCAGAGAAGCTTACAGAAAGCCTGCCAGAAATTGTCTGTGGAACAGGTTGGAAGTCGAGTTATTAACTGAAGATTCTTACTGTTTAAATTGTTAGTTGCTCTGATGGGAGTTAACTCTCCCTTATTTCCATGATGTGCTTTTACATGAGCTGATCATTTTTAAGACTTTAGAGAAACTGTAGGGTCCAAAAAGTAGAAATGCAAACACATTATGTTTAGGTAGGACTTTGTCAATGGAAGTAAGAACTGTCTACCACTTTTGGCCTGAAATCATAGACAGACTCAGAGAATGTTTTTTCAGCCACCAAAAGCACCCGCCAGGATTAAACTAGAGATTCCTTCTAGTTCAAATGCAAAAGAATGTGGAGGTGGGAGAAATTAAGTTCCAATAATTAGTTCATTTATTGTTCAAATTAAACAGCATTATTGCTAAAAATAGGATGCAATGATGAACAAGTTCCTATACTTACATAGTTCATAGTGTTATGATAAAGGATAAAAGGGAACATATAGGTCGGGGTACATAGCCATGCATTGTCAGGAATTGATATGGGGACTTGAAAGTCTACATGGAGCAGTAAATTCTAAGTTGAAACTTGAAGAATGTGTTGTAATCACATTGCAGGTGTTGTGAAAGAAATTGTTCCAGGCAGAGAGAAATTCTTCATATTCTCACACAGTCATTCATCTTTCTGCCTCTATATATTTTAACTGCTCTGAATTGTGTGAGAATCAATTTAAGATAGACCCTAGCATGTGTTAACTGACCAGTAAATGGTAACTTTTACTTTTAACATCGTCAGTATCTTTATTACCAAAACTGGGTGTATTTTTAAGCAGACTAATACTAAGATTACAAAATTACAATGAGATAACACAAGATAGAGATAATATTTAACATTATTTTTATAGAAAGGCAGCTAGTAAAACCAGCCTGAACGGTGCAATGAAAAGCATTGTGAGATTTAGAAATTAGAATGGAAATAATAAAATATTTAAAATGCACTATCAAAGAATGCCTCTAAGTCTGGAATTCAGTATGAGAAAGAACAGGGTTCCTGAGTGACTCTCCCACTTTCCTGAAATGTGATTTCTAGTAATAATTACATCTCTACATGTTTCAAGTTATTTAGCTACAAAATGAGTATAATTATAGTTTAATAACTCAGTGTTTGTTGCATAATTATTCCTGAATAATATTTATTGTGATTATCTTTTCTTGATAATGATCAAATAAGATAATAATGTAATCAAACTATAATCGTAAAAAAGATTTCCAAGGATGGCATTTGTCCCTACAATTAAACAGAAATAGAACTACATTCTACTGGTCATTAGATTACCTCCTTTCTCCAAATTTTATTTGAAAATAAAATTATCGTGCAGCGCACCAGCATGGCACATGTATACATATGTAACTAACCTGCACAATGTGCACATGTACCCTAAAACTTAAAGTATAATAAAAAAAAAAGAAAAAAATATCATTACTTGTAGTTGTACATATGCTAGATATTAATAAGATTTAATTGAAATTAATATGTGTTACTAATATGTGGTAATTCACAAAATAGCAGAAGCAGAAACATTCAGTTGGACTTGACATAGACAGATGCTATGCCAGTGTTTATTATTTCAGGACATTTCCAGTGGTCCAGAATTAAGATTAGTCACCTATGCTGAATCACACTAAGAATGACCCACCCAGGTTAAAGGTGACATACATTGTGTTCCTTGGTACTAAGCTACCTGATTGAAATCAAGCAGGTGGATCAATGGGAAAGATCATTTGGGGCTAATTGTACTGTCAGTATACACATGTTTGATAAAGAAGAGTAAATAATGTATTTTTCAGGTGACAGAGTAGGAAAGGAGAGAAGATAAGTAAGGCATTTCTTTTTGATCTTGCTTTGATATAAAGGAGAACAAAGTTCAAGATGGCTGACTAGAAGCAGCTAGTGTGCCACTCTTGCAGAGAGAAAACAAAGTGGAGAGTAAATAGTAATTCTTCAAGTGGTTTGTCTAAGAGACCACATTGGGATTCACCCAATGTGAATCCCAATTCACTGGACAGTGTATATGAGTCCTGAGGGGGCTGGACCTGGGTCGGGTTAGCTACTGTCGGGTTAGCTACTTTGCTGCTGTCTGCTGACAGTAGCAAAGCCAGGCAGCAGCCACCTACCCGTAATTGCGTGGGGCCTGGTGAAACTCCTGACAACAGGGAGAGGGTGAGTGAGTGAGAGTCCCCCAAGTGGATCCCCACAGGTCTGGGATTCCTGAGCAGCCAGGTGCCCACTGCCATAGCTCTGATAGAGGCCACAATTACGGTGCTGAGGAGCAGACAGACTGCTGTGCTTCTCTTTGCCAGGAAGTTTGTCTTGGGTGTCCAGCGCAGTGACCCCACTCCTGCTTGAACTCTGCCAGTGGGTACAGCTTGACATTTCTTAGGAAACCTCCCAGATGGTAGTGTGAATCCCTGCTCTGAGCCAAGCAAGGCTAGCCAGCTTTGGCTTCTAGCACCACAGTGACCCTCCCCGTGCCTGAACTGTGCTGGCAGGCACAGCCCTCCATTGCCCCAGGGAACGCCCAGGCTGCAGACTGGGACCGCCAACCCCCCACAGCCCCACTGCTGCCAACCAGTCAAGGCTCCATGGCTTGCGCTTCAAGCACAATGACCCCACCCCTCCCCCGAACACTACAGTGGGTTATGTGTCTGTGTTTCCACGGAACAAAACTCTCAGGGGTAACACAATGCTTGGCATTTTTGCATGCCCTCAACAGTAAAGCTGGGCATCATTTGAGTGAAAGAGAAGTGTGAGTGTGCCAGGCACCCCACAGCCAACAATCTCCACTGCGCCAGCTCAGGGATCCCACCTTCTCCAATGAAAGTCTTACAGCACAACCATCCTGCCCTTGCCTGAACATTTCACCTGCATCCCAGGGCCCTTCTGAAAACCCAGCCCCTACAAGACTATGATAATTAGGATCCCACTGCCTAAGTGTTCTACCAGCCCCTGCCTGAGAGGTTGGCTGGTGACCCAGGGAACAGTCCACCCCTCCTAACTTCACAACAGCCAACACCTGAACTCTGTGCTAACCCAACCCGAGTCCAGCCCCCTCAGGACTCATACACACTGTCCAGTAGGCCATTTGGAAGCCTGGGAACTGGAGAACAACCTACTCTGTTAGCACCTGTCCTGTTCCCTCAGGGTCTGAGGTTGGGCCAACCCACTCAGCTGACACCATGACAACCAACACTCACTGGCAAGCTCACATGAGTGCAAAGATGGAGCCCTCCTTCCCTTTACGAGAAGCGGTGATCCTGCCACATCGAAGAACAGGCAAGCTTTAAAGGTATCTATATCGGGTTGAGTGATGGGGTTATGCCATGAAACCACTCCCATAAAGAGTCACAAAACAGGCATTCCCTGTTGGTTTCAACCATATTATAGCCCAGAGATAGACTCTGGTATGCATCTGAACTAGGAGTCAAGGGACCTGGAACAGGGGTGCCATAGGGAAACAGATTTCATTCTTGCCTTTCTAGGACAGGGAGCTGTGGCAGCCTCCTCAGCGCACTTCACCAGGAATTTCACCCAGCCACCCTCATCATGGCAGGTGCCTACACTCACCACTGGGATATGCATGGGCAAGTGAGGGGCTCCAGCTCTGCCTAGCTGTGTCCTGCCATCTCAACAGTACAGGATATTGAACACCCCACTGTTCAGCCCTTCACCTGAAACTAAAGAAATTACCTCACAGTAAACAATGATCAAGTTCATACATACCTGCTTATGCAGCAGTTGGCTCTTATTGCAAATATCACCTACTGGCCTATAGGTTGGACCACACAGCCCAATACAAAACCTGCTGCCAGAAGTGCAGAGGACTACAGAAGCAAAGCCAAAATACCCTACCCAATGCAACACTCTCCAGATGAGAAAGAAGCAGCGTAAGATTTCTGCCACTAAAAAAAATCAGAATGTGTGACAACCGAAGCCTCACTCTAACTCTCTGGCAATGATGCCAAGCCAAAATGTAGGTATAGAGATAAAAGACGGATAATTCAAAGCATGGATCACAGAACTCAATGAGCTCCAAGATAAGGTTGAAAATTAAGACAAAGAAACCTGTAAAGCAATCCAAGAAATAAAGGAAAAGGTAAACATTTTAAAAAGAAATCAATCAGAGCTACTGGAACTGAAAAACTCACTTGCAGAATTTCAAAATACAACTAAAAGCTTTGTCAATAGACTAGAACAAGCAGAAAACAAATTTCAGAACTAGATGGCCAGTCTGTTGAACTAAGCCATTCAGACAAAAATTTTAAAAGAGAATTATAAAAATGAACAAATCTGCGAGAAATATGGGATTATGTAAAGCAATCAAACCTATTAATTATTAGCATTCTTGAAGGAGAAGGAAAAATGTAAACAATCTGGAAAACGTATTTGAAGGAATAGTTCAAGAAAATTTTCCTAATCTTCCTAGAAAGGTAGACATTCAGATATAAGAAATCCAGAAACACCTGTAAGATACAACACAAAATGAACATCGCCAAGCCATGTAGTCTCTAGACTGTTTAAGGTCAAGGCTAAAGAAAAAATCTTAAAAGCTGAGATCACTTACAAAGGGAACTCCCTAGGGCTAACAGTGTACTCCTCAGAAGAAACCCTTCAATCCAGAAGAGACTGTGGGCCTATGTTTAGCATTCTCAGATAAGAAGCTCCAACCAAGAATTGTATACCCCACCAAACTAAGCTTCATAAGGAAAGGAAAAATAAAAACTTTTTCACACAAAGAATTGTGAAGGAAATTTATTACCACTAGATGAGGCATACAAGAGATCCTTAAGGGAATTATAAACATGGAGATGAAAGAAGAATACCACAAAACCACGGTCAAGTACATCACCCACAGACCCTTTAAAGCAACTACACAATAGGAACTACAAAACAACCAGCTAACAACTTCATGATAGAACAGAACCTCACACATCAATATTAACATTGAATGTAAATGACCTTAACACCCCACTTAACAGGCACAGAGTGGCAAATTGGGTAAAAAACAACAATAACTGTATGTCTGCTGTCTTCAAGAGACCCATCTCTCATGTAATAACACCCAGAGACTCACAGTAAAGGATTAGAGAGAGATCCGTCATGCAAACAGAAAAAAAGAAAGCTTGGATCACTATTCTTATATCAGATAAAATAGACTTTAGATCAACAACATTAGACAAGGACAAGAACAGCACTACATAATAGTAAATGGTTCAATCCAACAAAATGACTTAACTATCCTAAATATTATGTGCCTAACATTGAAGCACCAAGATTCATAAAGTGTGTACTTCTAGACCTACAAAAAGACTTAGACAGACATAAGATAAGAGTGAGGGACTTCAACACCCCACTGGCAATGACAGCCACATTATTGAGGCAGAAAACTAAGAAATCCTAAACTTAAATTTGGCACTTGACCAATTGGACCTAATAGATTCTTACAGGACTCTCCATCCATCGACCACAGAATACATGTTTTTCTCATCTGCAAATGGAACGTATGTAAGTTCAACCACATGTTTGGCCATAAAGCAAGTCCAAATAAATTGAAAACAATCAAAATCATACTAACCATAGTCTCAGCACAGAGTGGAAGAAAAATAGAAATCAATACCAAGGAACTCCCTGAAAACCACACAATTACATGGAAATTAACAAACTTGCTCTGTAATGATTTTGGGGTAAACAATAAAATTAAGGCAGAAATTTTAAATAATCTTTGAAATAAATGAAAATAGAGACACAGCATAATAAAATATCTGGGATACAGCTAAATCAGTGTTAAAAGTTTATAATGCTAAATATCTAAATTAAGACATTATAAAGACCTTAATTTAACAATATAATATTGCACCTAGAGTAATTAGAAAAAAGCAAGAACAAACTAACCCCAAAGCTAGCTGTATTAGTCTGTTTTCATGCTGCTGATAAAGACATACCTGAGACTGGGAAGAAAAAGAGATTTAATGGACTCACAATTTCACATGGCTTGGGAGGCCTCAAAATCATGGAAGAAGGCAAGGAGGAGTAATTCACATTTTAAATGGATAGCAGTAGGCAGAAAGAAAGCTTCTATAGGGAAACTCCTTCTTATAAGTGGTTACCAGGTCTCATGAAAGTTATTCACTATCACGAGAACAGCATGGAAAAGACCTGCCCCCATGATTCAATTACCTCCCACCAGATCCCTCCCACAACACATGGGAATTCAAGACAAGATTTGGGTGGGGACACACCCAAATCATATCACTAGCAGAAGCAAAGAAATAACAAAAGTCAGAGAAGAACTGAATGATATTAAGACCCAAAAATCCATACAGAGGATCAACAAAATCAAAAGCTGGTTCTTTGAAGGAAACAAGAGGATTGATAGGCCACATCTAGATTAACAAATAAAAAAAGAGAGAAGATCCAAAGGAGCACAATCAGAAATGACAAAGGTGACATTGCAACCAATCTAAAGGAAATACAAAAGATTCTCAGAGACTATTATGAACATCTCTATGTACACAAACTAGAAAATCTAGAGAAAATTGGTAAATTCCTGGAAACACACCACCTGCAAAGACTGAGTCAGGAAGAAATAAAAACCCTGAACTGACCAATATTGAGTTCTGAAATTGAATCCAAAAAAAAAAAAAAAAAAAAACACCTACCAAAAAAAGAGTCTGGGACCAGAAGGATTCACAGCTGAATTTTACCAGATATATAAAGAAGATCTGGTACCAAGCCTACTGAAACTATTCCAAAAAACAGAGGTGGAAGAAGCCCTCTCTAACTCATTATACAAAGCAAGCATCACTCTGATACCAAAATCTGGCAAAGATTTCACCACATAAACAGTACTAAAAACAAAATCCATATAATCATCTCGATAGATGAAGAAAAGGCTCTTGATAAAATCCAGCATTCCTTCCAGATAAAAAGCCTTAGCAAAGTAGGCAGCAAAGGAACATACCTCAAAATAACAAAGCCATCTATTTCAAACCCACAGTCAACATTATACAAAATGGGCGTCAACTGGAATCTTTCCCCTTAAGAACTGGAGCAAGACAATGATGCCTACTCTTACCACTCCTATTCAACATTATACTGGAAGTCCTAGTCGGAGAGCATAGGCAAGAGAAATAAATAAAAGGCACTTAAATAGGAAAAGAAGTTAAATTATGTCATTTTACTGATTTTCTAGGTATGATTCTATTCCTAGAAAAGCCTAAAGTCTCTGTCAAAAGGCCCTAAAGCTGGTAAAGTACTACAGTAAAGTGTCAGGATACAAAATCAATATCAAAAATCAGTAGCATTATTGTACACCAATAGCATTCAAGCTGAGAGTCATGTCAAGAATGCAATCACATTTATTAGGTTGGTGCAAAAGTAATTGCGGTTTTTGCCATTTAAAGTAATTTTTGAACTAACCTGATACAATAACTGCAATTTTGCACTAACCTAATACAATAGCCACACACACACATGAATACCTTGGAATACAGCTAATCAAGGAGGTGAAATATCTCTATGAGGAGAATTACAAAACATTGCTGAAAGAACTCATGTATGATACATATGAATGGAAAATTATTCCATGCTCACTGACAGGAAGAATCAATGTCATTAAAATGACCATAAAGCCCAAAGCAATCTACAAATTTAATGCTATTCCTTTCAAACTACCAATGTCATTTTTCACTGAATTAGAAAAAAGTGATTCTAAAGTTCATATGCCAATAAAAGGGAGTTTAAATAGCCAAAGCAATTCTAAGCAAAAGAACAAAGCTAGAGGTGTCTCATTGTCTGACCTCAAAGTATACTTCAAAGGTACAGTATCTAAACAGCATGGTATTGGTACAAAAACAGACACATACCAATGGAATAAAATACAGAATCCAGAAATAAAGCTGCACAACTATGATCATTTGACCTTCAAGAAATTCAACAAAAATAAGCAATTGGCAAATGACTCTGTATTCAATAAATAGTGCTGAGATAACTAGCTTGCCATATGCAGAAGTTTGAAGCTAGACCCCTACATTACACGATATACAAAAATTTACTCAAGATGAGTTAAAGAGGTAAATTTCAGACCTACACTGTAAAAGAAAACCTGGAAAATACCATTCTAGATATCAGCCTTGGCAAAGAATTTATGACTAAATCCCCAGAAACAATTGCAACAAAAACAAAAATTGATAAGTGGAACCTAATTAAACTAAAGAGCTTCTGCACAGCAAAAGAAACTATCAATGAAATAAACAGACAACCTACAGAATAAGAGAAAGTGTACTATACACTGACAAAGGTTTAATGTCCAGAATCTTTAAGTTAAACAATTCGAAAAACAAAAAACAACCCCATTTTAAAATGGATAAAGGACATGAACAAACACTGCTCAAAAGAAGACATACATGCAGCCACCAAATTTATGAAAAAAATGGTCAACACTACTGATCATTAGAGAAATGAAAATTATAACCACAGTATGATAGCATCTCACAACAGTCAGAATGGCTATTTTTAAAAAGCCAAAGAATAACAGATGTTGGCAAGATTGCAGAGAAAAGGGAATGCTTATATACTGCTGTTGGGAATGTAAACTAATTGGCCATTGTGGAAAGCAGTTTGGATATTTCTCAAATAACTTAAAACAGAATTACCATTTGACCCAGCAATCCCACGACTCTTTATATACCCAAAAGAAAATAAATCATCGTAAAAAAATGCATGCACTCATATGTTCACTGCAATACTATTTGTTATAGCAAAGATGTGGAATCAATCTAGATCCCCATCAACAGTGAAGTGGATGAAGAAAATGTCATACGCATACACCATGGAATACTATGCAGTCATACAAAATCATATTCTTTGCAGCAAAATGGATGCAGCTGGAGGCTATTATCCTCAGTGAATTAACACAAGGACAGAAGCCCACATACCGCACGTTCTCACTTGTAAGTGGGAGCTAAACATTGAGTTCACATGGACATAACAATGGGAACAATAGACACTAAGGACTACTAGACGGGAGAGGATGGAAAGAGGGTGAGGGTTGAAAAGCTACCTACTGAGCACTGTGCTCACTACCTGGGTGATGGAATCATTCATACCCCAAATCTCAGTGACCTGCAATTTATCTATGTAACAAACCTACATATATACCCCTGAACCTAAAATAAAGTTGAAAAGAAAAACAATAAAGTGGAACCAAAAGTCTTTTATTACATATTCGACTATACAGTTCACTTTTTGACCTACTTTCCAAAGAAAAATTATGTTCTATTCCACATCAGTTTTCCAGTTTAGTTTCTTGACTTCTCTCACCTTGTCTTCAGGGTATCATCATTGCAAGCAGTAATGCAAACTTCTTACAATTCAATTAAGATTATATAATCACCTTTTTAAAAAACCTGCAAAACCTCCTCAAATAAAATCTGTATCTTTTATCTTCACATCCACAGTCTTTCATAATTTTGCTAAAACCATCTTCCATTCTCATAATTTTCCCATTCCATAGCCTATGGCACAGTTACGATTCTGTTCTTTCAACACGCCACTCATTGTTCTAGCCCTACAACTTTCCACTTGCTATTTTTACCGTTAGAAAATGTATGCTTTATCTTTTCTACCTGTGAATGCCTTTTTTATTTTTGGAAAGCCAAGTTAAAATTATCTTATCTGTACAAGTTACTCTGACTCTTCACAGTAAAAACATAGACACAAATACTGCTTCCTCAACAATTAATCTTCAAACATAACACATATATTTGCATAACCACATTGGTTCACTTTTGTTTGAATCCCCCTTTGGATTTAGCATTATAGATTTACTCTATTTCATTTTAGTAGAAACAGCTTTACAATCTAAAATGCAACTTTGCACAAAGCAGGCACTCAAGAAATATATATTTGCCTTGAAAGTTGACCGTTTGTTATGAGCTACTGATTCATATTATTCACCATCTATTTGGTTGAAAATTATTTAGAGTCTTTACTCAGAGATAACTTCAAATATAACTGTACAGTGTTCTATCATACCTGGCTTAAAGAGGTTAGCAGGTCCTCTGTATTGTAAGCAGAATACTAATTATGTCCAATAAAGTTCTTACTATAAGAAGGATTACAGAGATTTTGAGAATTAAAATCCACAAGGACTTTTAATCATCAATATCCTAAATATTATAAACTATACATTTAAATTTTAGATGATGAAAGTAAATAAATTTTTAAATGTTTACAAGACAATGGATCTACTTAACCTCTTGCTAATTAAATGGGTTGTGAAAAAAACTTATTTGTTTGATTTTGCATCTCTAATATTAACCTTACTGTCAATAGGAGCTTCTCTTATAGAAAAGAGTCCTGCTTGCTGCTATAAAGACATATACACACGTATGTTTATTGTGGCACTATTCACAATAGCAAAGACTTGAAACCAACCCAAATGTCCATCAATGATAGACTGGACTAAGAAAATGTGGCACATATACACCATGGAATACTATGCAGCCATAAAAAAGGATGAGTTCATGTCCTTTGTAGGGACATGGATGAAGCTGGAAACCATCATTCTCAGCAAACTATCACAAGGACAAAAAACCAAACACTGCATGTTCTCACTCATAGGTGGGAATTGAACAATGAGAACACTTGGACACAGGAAGGAGAACATCACACACTGGGGTCTGTCATGGGGTGGGGGAAGGGGGGAGGGATAGCATTAGGAGAAATACCTAATGTAAATCACGAGTTAATAGGTTCAGCACACCAACATGGCACATGTATACATATGTAACAAATCTGCACGTTGTGCACATGTACCCTAGAACTTAAAGTATAATAAAAAAAAAAAGAAAAAAGCCCTGCTAATTATATGTCAGTTAAGTCAATACAGTGGAGCTCTGAATAAAAATGATATGTGAAAAAAATCATATGTGTTCATATTTTGCACTAAAATACATTATTTAAATAGAACTTTCAAATTAAGAAAAAGAAAGAATAAAATTACCAAAACTGTTTTATATGTTGCAGGGATTTTCAATTTCAATATTTTGATACTTTAAGACATTAAATTGTCTAGTTTATTTTTGAAATGTCAAAAGGAATGTATGATCTACAGTAAATTATCAAAATTTACAGATATTGTGCCTTTTAATAAACAAGAGTAACTACCATTACTTAAAAACATAACTTTATTTGGTTTTCTAAAAAGATTTGTATTCTTTAAAAAGAAGAATTAAACACAGCCCTCAATACATCATAACAAAAAGAACACGGAAAAATACAGAGGTATTATTTTTCTTGCAACTCAATTACTTTCAAGAGATTATGCCTGCCAAAATATATTGCAAGATAATTATTGAGCAAATACTATATAGATAAAATCACTTTGCTTTTCATATAGAGCATATTAGTCTGTTTTCACACTGCTATAAAGAAATACCTGAGACTGGGTAATTTATAAAGGAAAGAGATTTAATTGATTCACAGTACGAAATGTCTGGGAAAGCCTCAGGAAACTTACAATCATGGCAGAAGCAGAAGCAGGCATGTCTTACATGGTGGCAGGTGAGGGAGAGTCTGTATATCATTGCAGGAAAACTACCATTTACAAAACCATCAGATCTTGTAAGAATGCACTCACTATCATGAGAACAGCGTGGGGGAAACCACCCTCATGATCCAATCACCTCCCTCCCTTGACACGTGGGGATTACATGTCCTTCCCTCCACACATGGGGATTACAATTCAAGATAAGATTTGGGTGGGGACAAAGAGCCAAACCATATCAAGAGAATACTACAAAAGTAAAAAGTATGTTATTTTATTTGGAATTGCTTGGAGTTTGTTGAAAAGATAGCAAAATTGAAAAAGAAAAAAATTAGAAAGTCATAAATTAGTAAATAATCAGCTACGTATAGTGTGCAGAGTGCATTTGTATAGACTTGAAGACAGAGAAAGTATTACACCATAGCCATGTGGACTAACCTGCTTAATGCCCACCTATGGTAAAAAATAAAAAAAATAAAAAAAGAATAAAAGTAGGTAAAGGTAACATAAACTTTGTTACTTTATTTACCCAAATTCTGATGTGCCTGTCTCTGGGTGAGCAGAAGATAATAAACCTGCTAAAATATGTGGTGAGAATTTACAACACAGCAGTAGTTAGAAGGTTGTAAGAATCAGAAGTGTTGTACTTAAATCCCTAGAACAACTGTATAATCTAAGTATCATCATCTTTATTTGACCAATAGGAAACCAAATATCACAAGGTTTAAATAATAATTCCAGTTCCAGTCAATGCTTTTACATGGTAGGTATCATATTAACCCAAGGTTTTTCATTTGTTTGTTTGTTTTTGTTTTTGTTTTTTCCTCCAAGGCCTATGTTGTTATCACTGCAGCTTATTGCTTCTTATTATACCATAAAATGAACTTTAAGGGATTGGTGGAGAGAAAGTTGGGACTTATAACATCAGAGATGGTTTTAGCTAGTAACACAAGTTTGAATGTAGCATTTTTAGTATGTATCTTATTAAATATAATATCTCCAAGAATCTCATGAAATGGCAGACTGACTGTAGTAATATAATACATATTTTCTAAGTGAATAAATGAATGGGTAATGTAAGCAGAATTATGAATATGGAAGTAAAAAAGAGAAAATGTTATATATATATAAATTTCAATAGAACAATAGGTTATTGATCATAAGCAGTATGTACTATGTTACACAAAACATATTTTATTTAGAAAACATTTAGAACTTTAAGGAGAGGATGCAAAAGAAATTTCAATATGGCATCAATTTTCAAAGTGCCAATAATTTTTATGTCTGCACTTGAAATTGATTTAGCTGAGACCATTATCTTCATGCAACCACCAAAACATGTTGTAGCATAACTAGGCAGATGATTTGGCTGTCTTAGTGACCAATTGTAGTCTTTAAAACCTTTTGCTAAGGGCAAATTAATTGTGCCACAATTTATTTCAATTATTTAGAGCAGTGGAATGGCAAGAATATTGGCTTTTTCCAAAATAGGACTAAATAACTAGAACCCATCGAGTAGGGCTTTGTTCTATGAGAAACATAATTTACAATGTTCAAACACCTAAGCACATGAACTTTGAAAATAAGCATGAATCATAGGAAGTATAAATATTTATCGAGGCCAAAGAGTATTCAAACTTTAGCAGTATCATTTCATTATACTAAATCAGGGCTGAGTCTTAAACTTTATAACCCCAAATACATCAAAATACAAAAGCTCAAACAAGTTAGTTTCTTTCTTTCTCATGTAATAAGATGAGGAGAGAAGGCTCCTAAACATTTCCACATCATGAGGTCTTTAAGAGATTTCTTCTGTCTAAGCCCCTTTCTCTGAGAAGCTAGTCCTCAACTCATAAGGTCAGGAATTATGACAACTCTCTGCCCTGGCTATAGAACATATCCCTTGGATTGAATATCTGGACTTTGGAACTGGTTTATTATACCTGTCTCTTAACTATGGCTATTGCCACTTCACCAAGCCACTGGGAAAGATATCAATGAAGGGAATTCTGGCACCCTTGAAAAAAAAAACAGTAATAGATGTCATATATCCATTACGAATGAAGTCAGGAGACTCTGCTATTGAAATGGGTTTCTGGGTGCCATGGAGATGATTGGATTCTGGAGTGGTAGCAACACTTAGCCACAAGAGACAAGGTAAGTGTCATCATCATAGTAGGTAACAGCATCAAATAAATAATCCTATAATTTGACCCACAAAAATCTTCAGAGGCATCTAGTTGTTCATGACATTGTTTAGGACTTAAGTAGATGGGAAGCATGCTAATATCTCATTTAATATTATTAACAGAAAAGGACTTTCAGCCTGGTATTGTTTCTCCTGATCTTGAATGCACACTTGGAGCAGAATCCTAACATTGGCAAAAAAAAATCTGTGCATTCTGGACTAAAATTGAAGAAAAAGTCAAAGGTGGGCCTTAGATTGTTTCCTAAATATTAAAATTATAAACCAAAAGATATACCACATCCCTGTGGAATCAGTGAGATTAGGTCTACTACCAAAGATTTGGAAAATGTAGATTAAAGGAGTCTTAATGCATACCATTTCACTTGTTTAATTTAGGCAGAAGTTAGGTGATACTTGGAAAATGACGAAGAGTGGTGACATTAATTGCAGATGCATTTCAAGATGTGCTTCATTTATGTGATCTAATCAAAACTTGGTTTTCAGCTATAATTTTGGCATTTTTTTCTCTATTTCAAACAGAGAATACCACAAAATGTCTATACACTAGGGAGACAACCGAAGTTCTAATTTGAGGGCCATGTAATAATCCTTTGGGATATCCCTCATAATTTACTGCTGCAGTTTTCAAAGTGGGCTATATCAACCCCTGAGGATCCCTGAGACCCTTTCTTGGTGTCTTAAAGATTAAAACTATTTTAAAAATAATATGAAGATGCTTATCACCTTTTTACTCCGTTGACATTTTCACTTATAGTGTAAAACAATATTAGGTAAACCACCACAGCCTTAGCAAAAATCAGGACAGTCACACCAATCTGTACTAGCAGTAAATGTTCACTAATAGTACTTGTCAGACTATTCAGTTTTACTTAAGAAAGCCATTAGTCAAGTGATAAAGCATTTCACTTTTATTAAATGATAACCCTCAGATACATGTAGTTTAATATTCTTATGAAAAAATTGGAGGTATTATGCAGAAAGCATTTCTGTGGCACTCTGAAGTCTGATTATTGCCTTCAGGAGAGATATGCAATTGTAGTGACTTAAACTAGTCCATTTTTTAAAATAGGATACCTTTTTTACTTTAAAGAATGCGTGGGTATATACCCAAAGGATTATAAAACATTCTACTATAAAGACACATGCACACATATGTTTATTCCAGCACTATTCACAATAGCAAAGACTTGGAACCAACCCAAATGCCCATCAATGATAGACTAGATAAAGAAAATGTGGCACATATACACCAAGAAATACTATGCAGCCATAAAATAGGATGAGTTCATGTCCTTTGCAGGGACATGGATGAAGCTGGATCCCATAATTCTCAGGAAACTAACACAGGAGCAGAAAACCAAACACCGCATGTTCTCAATCGTAGGTGGGAGTTTATCAAAGAGAACACATGGACACAGGGAGGGGGACATTCACACACTGGGGCCTGTCGGGGGGTGGGGAGCTAGGGAGGGATAGCATTAGGAGAAATACCTAATGTAGATAATGGGTTGATGGGTGCAGCAAACCACCATGGCACGTGTATACCTATGTAACAAAGCTGCACTTTCTGCACATGTATCCTAGAACTTAAGGTATAATAATAAAATATATATATTTTTTTCAGTGATTCCTGCCCCATATCGACTTATATATTGTATATACTCAATACTTTAAGAGTTTAAAATGATTCAGCTTTTATTTTGATGAAGAAAACAATACTAGAAATAGGTAAAACTTTCTCATTGTACAGATGAAGGAGCTGATGCTCAGAAAAGTAAAGTAAAATGATTTACTTAATAAGACCCAGTTAGCCCCATAAGTAGATTTCAGGATTAGAATCTGTAATGGGACCAGATTTTTAAAAAAAATTTTAAGGGGATAATTTAGTGGTTGGGCACCATTTGCAGTATCAATGAATAAAAGAGAGAAGAAAAAAAGCAAGTGACTAAACTGATTCCTATATGAATCACTGCACCCCAGTAAATTGGCATCCACTTTCTAGTGTCCGTAAGTTGAAGGGTTAGCTTAAACAAGCTTGCAGAGTTAGAATGGAAACAAAAAAATTGTAATGATTGAGGAAATGCAATGTTTCATCTAAAGCTCTGTTCCGACCTGGGTTAATGAAGTGAGTGGTAGAAAATATGACAGGTATTCAGAAGGAGGAAAAGTCACTGAGTTACTGAAATTGGGAACAAGTTACTGGAGCTTCTTCTTGAAAAATGAAAGCTACAAAATGTATTGGATTTGGCGATGGGAAAAAAACTTTAGGTAGTGTAATACAAATAAAGAATAATGAAAGGTGTGAAGATATATAGTAGTTTGGGGTTCTAATTGCAATGAACTGGATTTTTGTGTCCCACCAAAATTTATATGTTAAACTCCTAACTTCCAATGTTATAGTAGAGGATGCTTTGGGGAGGTAATTAGGTCTTGAGGATGAAGCCCTCATGAATGAGATTAGTGCCCTTATGAAAGAGAGCTCTCTTATTCTTATTCCATAATATGAGGATACAGAAGAAAACAGCAGTCTGCACCCTGGAAGAGGGATCTTATCAGAACACAACCATATTGGCACCCTGATATCTGTCAGAAACAAGTTTTTGTTCTTTACAAGCCACTCAGTCTATGGTACTTTGTTAGAGTAGCCCCAAGATAAATAAGACCTTATTATTTTCCAGTAAAAATTCTATATAGGTTTGAGGTAAGAGCAAAATGTAGGATAAACTATATTGAGAGGATCTTGAAATCTGAAATGAGCTTCAGAAGGATTCAGGAGTTGACAGATGAAAAATAAAGCATATGTATTCAGTCTCCAGCAAAAGAGTGAATTTAATATGAACACAATTGCTGATAAAAAGCCTCTGTCAATATCTTAAGTTTGTGCTTTCATGTATAAAATTGGATGATGTTTGAAATATTTGTTGGGAACCTAAAATACACCAAGTTTAGTAAGTGAGATGTTTTCACATGAAGTACCTGCTTTATTCTGTAACAATGATATGTATCAGAAAAATTTTAAATAAACACACAAACAAAACAAATAATTTAAAATATAACTCGCAATGACACAAATCTATTTAAGTCTGGAACTGAAACTAGTATTCATATTACTCTATCTTTCCAAATATTGAACTTCTGTGAATTTTGTCAATCAGTTTTCAACAAATATGCTAAAGTAATTTAGTGGAAAGATGATAATCTTCACATTGAATTATGCTGGAACATTTTTATATCCATATGGATGAACTAATGTTCAGCAATTACCTCATTCAGTGTGATGGATTAACTTGAAATGAATTATAGGCCTAAATCTATAAGAGAAAACAATAAAATGCTACAGAAAAGTAAAAGAAGGATTCTTTTGGACTGTGCACTAGGTTATAGATAGAGGAAAAGAAAGCACAAAATGTAAAATGAAAAATAATAAATAGTTACCCCCAAAAATTAAAAAGTACTATTGCTTTATGAAAGACACAGATACAAAAAAATTAAGGCGATGTATACAGAGAAAATACTTTCTATCTCTCTCTTTTTATTTGTGTGCTTACATTCAGAGTATAAGAGCTCTTACAATTCATTTAATAAAAAGACATAAAACACATTAATAGTAGAAAATTGACAACAGTTTCAAAGATATTTCCCAAAGAAGATATGTGAATGGCCATTAAATATATGAGAAGATGCTCAACATTATTCATCAGTATCGGGAAATAACAAATTAAAACCACAATGTAAAACCACTTAGCATCCATTCAAATGTCTAAAGTTAAAAGGAAATACAAATGTTGATGGAATGTGAGATACTGGTGGTTGGAGACATTCTAAATGGTATTAGCCTCTATGAGATGGGTAAACAAGCACTTTCCCTATATTGCTGTAATTGTACTCCAAGTATTTACCTAGGATAAATGAGAATATATATCCACACAAATATTTTGAAGTCCCCAGTTGCTTTTTTTTCTGGCATAATGGAGTTACAACCTATGCACACAAAGCTTACTATTAGCTTAGAGTGCATGCATGGATTAGAAATTCAAAAAAAATTCAAGGTGACTCCTATTCTGATGTTTAGAATATTTTAGTGCATATTACCTTATCTCCAGGTGTGACCTAATTCCAGCCCCATCAGCCTCACTGAATTTATACGTGTGTGTGTACACACACATACATATATATAAAATTCATACATAAAAATATATATTTTATATACAAAAAATATGTATTTTTTATTTTTTTGCTTTTCATTTCATTAATTTTTGTTCTTGACAGAGCAGGAGCATTGCCATCTTGGACAAGCACCACAATTTTAAAGTTCTCGTTGATCAAAAACTGCCTAAATCCAAACCAAAGGGCATCAGCCTAATGGTTAATGTCAACATGACCATAAACCACAAATGACATCTCTGAACAGAAACATTCCAACCCTAAGATAAACCTCTCCTTGACCATAAACATGCCAGCCCCAAGATAATCTCCCCTCTGGCCAAAGAGATGTCAGCCCCAAGATAACCTCCCTTCCTACCAGAAACATCCCAACCTGGCAAAAAACTTCTCCTCCACACAGAAACATTCCAAGCCTGTGATAAGCTCTCTCTTCCTGAACCCTTAAATAATCTTAGTCTGTAAGAGGGAGTGCTCCTGAATGAAATCAGCCAGAAGCCCCGCTCAGGTTTATTCTCCAAAGTAAACCTGTCTTTGACTGTTGAGTCACTTTTTGTGTTTCTTTCCTCTTTATGTAACTCTTACAGTTCTTACTTACATTAATTCATTTATTTACTTTTATTTTTAAAATTTTTAAACAGAAAACAAAATTTATACAACTTTTTGTGTACAGTATGTTGTTTTGAAGTATGCATATATTGTGGAATGGCTAAATCAACTCAATAACATATTCGTTATTTCACATACTTACTTTTTGGAGTGAGAACACTTAAAATCTACTCTCAGCAATTTTCAAGTATACTGTCGATGAAAAGACTCAAACTCTGTAAAATATTAAAGAACTTTATTCTGAGCCAATTAGCAGTGACCATGACCTGTGACACATCCCTCAGGAGGTCCTGAAAACATGTGCCCAAGGTGGTTGGGGTGCAGCTTGGTTTTATACATTTTAGAGAGACATGAGACATCAACCAAATACATTTACCGTACATTGGTTTGTTCCTGAAAGGCAGAACAACTTGAAGCAGGGGCTTCCAGGCTATAGGTAAATTTTCACATTTTCTGGTTCACAGTTGAGTTTTGACTAAGGACCTGGGATCAAT